>NC_000002.12:103853254-104156284 GCF_000001405.40 Homo sapiens | reverse complement strand
AAAGATACAACACACAGGGTTAGCCTGGATCTTAACAGGCAGCCACAATCTCCTATTCCAGTCTTATCCTCCATGAGTCTTCTATTGCAAGCAAGTGCAACAAGTGTAACATCTTGAATTGCCCATTGGAATTTTCTAGGATTAATGAAAGAGCCTATATGTTTTCCTAGCCCATCTGTACTCAACACCTAACAGTGGCTCACAGTGGCTACTAATAAGCGGCTCTTTATTTGCCCACTGGGGAGCATTGTCTTAATGACAATCTCCAGCAAAAGGAAAGAAAGGTAGGAGAGGCAAGGAAATGTAATATTGTGCATAATTCGTCCATAGTTGCTTGTCTTAATTGAATACCAACGAAACTCAATCTAGGGACTTTGAAAGGTTCCAGTTTACGTTCAACCCCTGATCAAGTTTACGATTCAAAGCAAACTCCAGTAGATACTAAGGAAGGGAAGCAAACCGTGCGAAATGCTCCAACAAGATCTTTTCTGAGGATTCTTCCTCTCGCAGATCTGGGAAACAGGAGCTCTACTGTAGATATACCCCAGAACCTAGTAGAGGAAAGAAGAATGTGCTTTTAAAGAAACTTTAGATGCCTTATAATAAATCTGGATGTGCTTAACAATCCCTGAGGAGTTTAAAAAAGTCTGGATGTGTTTTCTCAAATAACTATTTAAAGCATATTAGAGTTTTTAATTGCACTGGGGACTTTTCAAAGCATATCAGGACAAAACAGTAGAGTATAGGCCCCAATATGCTAATTAATAGATAGCTAGACCCCTGAAATAAACCTGCAACACTCCATTAATCAGGCAGTAATTGAATTGGCACAGTGCTTTTGTGCAAACTACATGATAATTGAAAACCCAAACCTGGCAGCAGTGAGGGTAAGGTTCTCCACCACAACATATAACAGGGCATCCGGTTTGCACTTGTCAGTGGGCAGTTGGCCCTACTGTCAGGAGGCTTTGAGTAGGGAGAAAGCCAGCTCCTGAGTCCAGTGTCACCTTGATCTCTTGCTGAGATGGTCTTTTAGGTGTGTGATATCCAGTGGCCACAAGCATAACCCCATGGAAATACAAGTAATGGCTGATATGCTTTTCTCTGTTACCTAAAGACATCTGCCAATTAATGTGATTATAAAATAATAGTGAGGAACAGATGTTTCATTTGCTAATTTTATATCTGACTGTTGGAAAGCTAAATACCTGGGGATTTAACTGGCAAATACTACTTTGCTCATGAAAAAAAGAAACAATGCGTGCATTTTTTCCCACACAGCTGATGTGGTATAATTCTGGATAGTGGTTGCCTATAGTAAGAGCTCAGTAAGAGGGAGATTGATTGCTTCTAAAAGAAGAGAAGAAAAGTAGCACTTTAAGCCTTTTCTTTTTTTCTTCTTTCTTTCTTTTTTTTTTGTTTTTTTGCTATAAACAAAACAGTAAGCATATTGCTATGCCAAAAAATGCTGTTGCAATAAAAGAGTTTTGCCTGTCATATTGTGAGGGTGGGGTGGGGAAATTGATGTGAATACACTGAGGATGGACATAAATTATCCACCTAGAACTTTTAAATAAACCATCTTGAAAACCTTGAAGACCTTTTCTGCATTTGCCAGCCCTTAACTGGAACAGACGAAGACCAGGAAATGTGGAATCACAATGAAAAAGTTAGCTGTCATGGCTGGGGGGATCTAGAGGGAAATATTTTAAGAAATTTAGAAATTTAGGAAAAAAACCCAAGAATTATTTTAACTAAATATTTTCGTTCTAAGTACTCTTTTTCTTCCTCAAGGAGGTTGATTATAGTGTCAAATATATCTAAGATAAGTGTTTGTTAGTCCAGGATCTTACTGGAATCAGACTCTTCTTAACATTGTGTGTACACTGTGGCACTTTGCTCTGTCTGTTGCAAGAGGTCAACTTTGGGTGGAAGTTTCTCTTTCTGCTGTTAAATATACAATTATATCTGACTTTTAAGAAAAAAACCTGTGATTTGGGTACTAGAAGTGCTACTCAATGTTTCTGTGATCTTAGGCAAGTCACTAACCTCACTTTGCCTTACTTAGCTTACCTGTCCATAGAGGAATTTGGATTCCAGTAGAGCTTCAGAAATTGTCAAAATTCATGCCCTTTATACAAAAGTAAAACCTTTGAATTCTCTTTAAAATTTTTTAAACTTACAAACTATATGTAGTGTGATATAAGAAAACTTATATAGTTTAAAATCCTATAGTCACATGATTTTATAATTAACTCATATATATGTAGTTAACTTATATAGTTAAAATTTATATAGTTATAAATCAAAGTTATATAGTTATAAATCAAAGTTATATAGTTAATGGCTTTATTTTCAAATTTCAACCACTCTTAAGCTTCAGAGAATTTGCAAGACTTACACAAGTGTCATGTAGGCAATGAATGTTCATGTGTGTGAATCTGAGCATGTGGGAGCCAGCATCAGGACTAGAGCCTTTGAAATAGGATTATCCCTCTGCCAGACTACCTGGTTGTCCTTACCAACCTTGAAAATTGGACTTTGTTATCGGTGAATGTATTTAAACTTTGTCTAACTTTCCATGTCACATGAATTGAACATAAGCCTGTGTCCATCAGCGGCTGTCAACGCAAAAGATGGTACCTATGCTGTCGATTGCGAGTCTCTCTCCTGTAAAACAAATGAACAAACAAACAATAAACCGCTAAAAAAATAAAACTAAAACTAAAAACCTGATTGCTTTTCTAATTTGGGGTTTCTTTAGACCTCAAAGTGTTTGGTGTTACTTTTTTTTAATCTCAAGATGTTGTTCCATTATGAATTGCCGCTATCCTGTGCTAGTGCCTTTGATTGTTTTGTTTTGTTTTTCACCTCTAGCTGCAGGATCTATTCCATGGCATCTACCCCAGGACCCTTTCCTTTCTCTTAGATGCTGAGGTTATTCCCAGTCTACCTACAGAAACTTCACTTTCATTCTCCAACCCTAGTGATTTCAGGCACTTCTAGGGCTGGATTCCTCCGAGCCTTAGCCTGACTTTTATCTCAATATATCCGAAATATACGGGCTTGGAATCATTTTCAAAACACTGCTTCTTTCTAACTTTACTCCTTTTATTTTACCTTACATGTCTACATTCAAGACTTCAGCTTTACCTCCAAAACATAGCTCATGTTTTCCCTCTTTTCACCATCTGTCTGGGCCCCACAGCTGCCATTTCTCACCCCCTTCTGCAGTAGCCCCAATAGTCTCTGCCTCCACTCTTGCAATCATGAAATCAAGGTCCAAACATAGCAACCAGATGGCTTTTTTGAAAATGTAATCATACGTCACACCTTCCACCCATTTAAAAGTCTACCAGTTGCTTCCTGTTGTATTTAGAATAAAATTCAAACTTCTGACTATGACCCAAAAGCCAATAACTTAAAAGTCTGTCCCTATTTATCAATCTTATTTCCCCTGCCCTGTTTTCCTTCATACCACCTTCTCCACTTCCTCACTAAATGAGTCTTGCATTTGCACTTCCTCAGAGACCACAAGTTGGTCTTGGCCTGCAGACCTTGTATTTACTACTTGCTTTGCCTGGCACACTCTTCCCTGGGTTTTGTGCATGGCTGATTCCTTCTCTCATTCAGGCTTCAGCTCAAGGATAATTTCCTTGGACAGCCCTTCCTTGTTTCCATAAGTCCCCCTATCCCCACCAAATCACTCTCCACCCCCATTCATTATATATATATATATGACTTACAATAATCTCAACTTATCTGGTTCATCTGTTTACTTTTTATTGCTGCCTCCCACTATAAGAACATATCCTCTGTGATGACAGAGACTTTGGCAGTCCTTTTCTCTGCCACACTTCCAATGTCTAGGACAATGCTCAATAAATACTTCTGAAATGGATTTAGAAAAATGTTTCCACTAAGAGCATATGCTTGCAGTCTGTGCAACTGCTGAGGAGATATCAGCCCAGTGGTAGACACAAACTAAGAACCTGGGACTTTTCCAAGTGTTTTCAGAAACAGAGAAATTAATAACCACTAAAAAATTCCATTTCTCTTCCTAAAAAAAAAAGAAAAAAAAAAAACCCAAACTTGAATTTTAACATAAGTTAATGTTAATCAAACTTTACTCCACGGGAACAGATACGAAGGGAAATACATGTATTTCAAAGCAAGAATAATAAAAAATAAAGGATCCTCTGGTTCAGAGGCTGCCAAATTTTTCCATGAAAAACCAGAAAGTAGCAAATATTTTAAGCTTTGCAACCTATATGATCTCTAATGTGACTACTCAGCTCTGCCGTTGTACCACTAAAACTATTTATTGACGTTGAAATGTGAATTTCATATAATTCTCACCTGGCATGAAATATTAATCTTGTCCTGTTATTTTTTTTTCGATCATTTAAAATTTAAAAACATTATTAACTATTGGGTTATATAAAAACTGGTATTGGGCCAGATTTGACCTGGGGCACATCATTTGCCAACCCCTGTTCTTGGCATATTTCACCATCCCTAGCTCCTTCTTTGACCACCTAGGAACTGAGAGTTGTTCTAACTTAAAGTTTCTAGGAAGTTCTTACTCAGTGCATAGAGTAGGAATTTTTTGAAGATGCATTTACATCTCTAGATTTCTTGCTAATATCCTCTTTGGGTGTCAAAGTTATAAAATCCTTTTAAAGGCTATAATGCTTTTATTTCTTTGCACCCCAGAAAATCTCACTTGTATAGCAATGGGGAAAAATGCACCTTTGTTTCCTGGCTTTCCCAATGGGTAGCATCTGTTTTCTTAAAATTATTTCCATAAATTATTGTCAACCTGCATACATCCAACATTATGCTACTCCATATTAGTCTATGCTGTTGTACTCCAAATATTCCAATGTTCTTACTCTCCCAGCTTGACAGCAAGGGTTAAAAGTTGAAGAGAAAGATAAATAAAATATAATATATGCCCCATGCCCTTATAATCTAAAAGAGAAGCTCTCTTTATAATTGCTTAAAGTTATTTAGAAAATTTTGACTGAAGGACTCTTGCAATAGTTGTTTTACTACTAGGGTTCTTGTTTAAAAATCTACAATTACTCTTACCTCTTTTGTTCTAGCAGGAAGTTTATCCCTAGTCCTTCTAAATGTCTATCCGTTCCTGAAGCTGAACACTAGCTCTAACTCTGGAACTACTTGTGTTCTAGATTCCATCCCATCCCTTTGCATTTCCTCCTCCCTTCAGTTGAACAACAGCAACTTTCTTCTGTATATTCAATCTTTACTCTCTTAGGTATCCTCTGCAATCTAGCTCGAGGCTTCTAAATCCTTAAAAACTTTCATGTCTATCCTGCCTTTCTTCAAACCCCTGTCCTAGTCAACTCCTCTTTATTACCAACCTAGTTGAAAACAAATCCCCATGTAACATTGTCATCAGCTCTTCTAGCTACTGTTGCTGCATAATAAACCTGCTTATGACCTATTGTCTTAAAACAATACCAATTATTTATTTTTATCATGAATTTGCCATTTGGGCAGGGCTCTACAGGAATGTCTCATTTCTCTTCAGTAGGGTGACTAGACTGTTAGCTGTTTGATCTTTTATGCAAGGGATTATACATGGCTGGGAGTTGGGGCTTGGCTTCCCATGGGCTTCTTGGGCTGGCTCAGAGCATGATGTCTGTGTGCCAAGAGCAAGCATTCAAGAGACAGGAAGTGGGAGCTGTCAGTTTCCTAGGCCAACAGAGCTTTCATGCTACCATACTTGATGGGGGGCTTGTCAAATAATTTTGGGGCAGTATTTCAAAACCTTTCCTTAAAATTCTTTTGGTACTAACATCATTAACCTCCAACATACCAGATTTGATGGCATCTTTTCAGTATTTCTCCTGTGTCACCTCTTCCCTTCTCTCATATTCTCAGACAACCTTTCATCTCCTTTGACACCCATGAAACTTATTTCTCTTTATGTGTTTAATCCTTGATTCATTTTACTTTTTACCAGTGTCGCTGTTTTTTTTTTCTTGTGCATGAATCTTAAATAAATATTGGGGTTCTTTGGATTTGATCTTCCATCTTCTTTTCTTTCTATGTGCTCTTTTTTATCTTACAGAAATAGAGTCTTTCTATATTGTCCATGTTAGTGTTGAACTCCTGGCCTCAAGTCATCCTCCTGCTTTGGCCTCTCAAAGTGCTGGGATCACAGGCATAAGCCACCGTGCTCGGCCTCTAGGTGTTCTCACTGAGTCTTGCGGTAACAATTAATATCTACACACTGATTACACCCAGTTTATGTTTTAAACTCCACCCGTGTTGCTGAGCTCAAGCACGCTTTTTCTATTTGTCCTGTGTGCCTCAAATAATCATATTAAATATGAAAATTCCACAGAGCTACACTCTGGCTGTATCAAACTATCAGCTTCTTGAACCTGCTGCATCCTTGAATGACTCTACATCTTTACACAGGCTGTTATCGACACTGGACTTGCCTCTTGCTCACTTGGATGAACTCCTACTTATTCATCAAAACACAGCTGAAATAGCTTGTATTCTGTGAAAACTCCCTGATTCCCAGTTAGAGTGAACTGCTCTGAGTGGTGTCCATAATGCTTTGTTCTTCAAACAAATAATCTTAATTGTAATTTTATTTTACTACAACCTTCAGCTCTATTCATAGGTGCTCAGCTCAAGTCAGTTATTACTTGTGCAGGATAACTAAAGAAGTAAAATATAGCTCTACCTTAAAAAATAGTGTATTAGTCGTTTGCAGAAAAGTCCATATATGAATTTAAGGCAATGAACTGGTTTGGTATTTTTTTACTTGTAATGTGAAACTAAAACTGAAATTGTGTTTTTTGTTTTATTTGGGTGGGGAGTAGGAATGAGTGAACCCTCAGGATAAAAGGCAAACTCTATTCTTTAGAGCGTCTTAATGTATCTTTGCATTTAGTAATTAAGATAACCAAAACAGCTCTATTGAAACAAACTGTTTTCCCATTTGATTGTAGCTGATTTTTGAGAAATTTGAAATATAGCAAGTCGTCACTTTGCCACTGCAGGCCATTTAAAATTTAAGTAAAACTGATACATATCCAGTGTCCTTTATCCTCTGCTCAAAGGTCTAACCTATCAGGTTGTCCTGTGGTCAATTCCTGTGCAGGAAACTTAACCAAACATATTGATGAATATTTGGAGAATTATCAACGTTCAGCTTAGCTCTTTTAAGACCACAACCTGAATAACATTAGGTCACAAAAAGGATACTAGCATAGAAAACAGCTATTATGGTCACATAAAGTATTAGAAGTCACAGTTCTTTGATTTGAAAGACAAAGAAACCTACCTAGTGCTTTTTCGGCAAACAGTTTAATCCTATTAGGCATTTCCAGGCTTGTACAAAGAAACTCTATACTTACTTAGAGTTGTCCTGTTTTAAAAAAAAATGTAGTAACACATTGGGGAATATTCTCTTGAGCTATCTTGTTTCTTCTAATCATTGTCCCCTCTTTACTGGAGAATTTCCTATTATTCAGCAACATATGGATGGAAGATTTCTTCAGTAATCATGTCTGAACAAAGCAATTATTCTGTCATTAACCAATTATTCTTCAGAGTCAAATGGAACAGACAGATTTGCTAAGACAATTTTACTTTAATAAACCCTATGGAATCAGACCTTACATAACTCATGTTCAAATGGTTTAATACAAAGATCACAGTGTAGGTAACAAAAATGGTTTCTTGGGTTTTTTTTGTCTTGTTTTAATGCATTGACAGCATGTGATCTCAGGAAACCCACTAGAGATGGAATGAGTGCTAGGTTTTTGGAAGGTGGGAAAGATGAAGGAATGAGGATGTCTGGTTCTGTGTAGGAATACTCAATCTATCCAGCTCCAAGGTGATTCTTTTTCTTTCTTTCTTTTATCATCAAAAGTCTGTGATTTATTACAGCTCTTCTACTTTCTAGAAGCTGCTGGATAAACAGCCTGACCAAAGAGGTGAGAGTGGGTGCTCTGCTCCAGAAATGCTTCCAAGAAGGATGCAACAGAGTGTTCAGGAAAGGTAAATTATCTCAGAATGTCAGTGACTTAGTTGGTTTGGACTGCTGTAACACAATCCTTATAAACAACTTAGACACAACAAAAACAAATCTTTCTCACTGTTCTAAAGGCTGGGAAGTCCAAGATCAAGGCACAATCCAATTAAGCATCAAGTGAGGGCCTACTTCCTGGTTCATAGATGCCCTCACATGGTGGAAGGGGCTGGGGAGCTTTCTGGAGCCGCTTTTCTAGAAACACTAATCCCATTCATGAAGGCTGTGGCCCCAGGACATAACTGCCTCCCAATGACCTCACCTTTTAGTACTATCTTCTTGGGGGTTAGGATTTCAACATGCACATTTTGGGGAGATACAAACATTCAGACCACTGCAGTCAATGACCTGTCAAGTTTGGAATGATCTTTCTAAGCACGGGGAATGTAAGAAAGCATTTTCAGGAGGGGATGGGAGTGAGAAAGTACAGTGCTGTTTTATTTAACTCCTTGGTATTCTGTATGATTTTTTTTTTAATTCCATGGCATTCTGATGTGGTTCACTTCAATAGAAGAGGCTTCCCCTAACTCCTGTTTGATTTGTCTTTGTGATTGATTTTATGGGAGTTGACTTGGAGATTCAGTTTTGCAGTTTCTGAACTTTTTGGCTTAAAAAATCAGAATGCATACCATCGGCATTCTGAGTTTTCTGTCATAATTCAAGGGGCACCAAATGTTTGCAGGCAAAGTCCTAATGTAGTAGAAATTACAACAGCAAAGGCTGAGAACAAAAATATTTTAGGCCTTGCTCCAGTTATCATAGTAATATTTGACTCATTACCAAACAAAACATTGAAAACTTAAGTACTAGTCTTTCTTCTGCAGCTAACTGAGTATAGAAATGTAAGCTTGAGATTTACTTCTTCTCTGACCTCAGTTTCCTTTCATATGAAACAGGTTCTTCTTCAAAATTCTATGATCCTTTGTGTTTGTCATAATGATACTTTGCACATTTTCTAAAATAGTAGTTAAGGACAGATTTGCCAACATCAAAAGCAACAGTAACAAAATGAGTCGTCTCTTTAATTTAAACTTCACCTACTCACAAGTAAGAAAGACACACAAAAACCACACAATAATATCAATATACAATACTTTGCATAATTACATAAATGATCTCATATCCTTAGGCTGTTTTTTCCATTATCAAAGGGGTGATGTTTTACTTCCAATAACTTTCTAAAAAAGTTTCTTGTCCACACCATTAAACACCGCAACCTAATCTCACATTTAAAGCATTAATGACTGTCACCACAGCTCTCTGCACTGGGTAGATTTGGGATGACAGCTGTCACTGCAGCAGGATACATTTTTTATAATAGTTTTATGATTCACCCTTTGAGATGAAGATTTGGACACCTGATACCAGCCTATGATTTTCTCCCTGTAATTTTCAGAATGGGTAAAACCAAATAACAGCCTCCCAGTCTCATAGGTCTTATGCCAAGTGTTTCAGAAATGACATCGGTGGGAATTGAAAACCATACTCATTTTTTTCATAGCATATGCTGAGCATTTTCATTTGCTAGTATTAGTTGATTGGTGGGGTGGGGTGGAGGCTGGCTTTCCATCAAAGTCATAGCAAAGCTATAGTTTTTCTCCCCATTTCACCTTCACATTATTATGGAGGTGTTTACCAATCTTGTGTCAGTTCAGTCTCAGCAATTTTCATGACAAATATATGGCCAAAAAGAAATCTGTTCATCAGTATCCTGAGGATGCTCCTTTAAAGACCAGAACATGCTAACAAAATTTGGCTTGTCCCTATGGACAAGTTAAATGCAAGTAAGAAGGGATATAAGTAAGGTGAATTTTTTTAAATTGGCTTAATATTGACAATTTATAAGCTGATTTCCTGGATTTAGAACAGCAAAGAGGAAGAGTTAGTTCCTCCCTTGACTTTTGGTATAGATGTAAACTTTGTTTTTGATCAAAGCTCATTAAATTTGGGTTCTGGAGCCTGGGCAACATGGCAAAACCCAGTTTCCCTACAAAAAACACACGCATACACACAGACACACACACACACACACACACAAATTAGTCAGGTGTGGTGGTGCCTGCCTGTAGTTCCAGCTACTGGGGGTGCTGAGGCGGGAGGATTGCTTGAGCCCATGAGTCGGAGGTTGTTTTGAGCTGAGATCGTGCCACTGTACTCCAACCTGGAGACAGAGTGAGACCCCGTCTCAAAAATAAATAAATAAATAAATAAAAATAAATTAGGGTTCTGAGAAATCTGTTTGTGCTCAATCCAGGTTCAAAGTTCCTTCGCTCTCCCAATGTGGCCCCTCATTCAAGACACAGGCTTCTCCTTCTCCTTTTAGACCAGTTCCCTGAAAACATCAGACTAATGACTAGTCCATCCTGGATGGTTGCATGAATGAGGAAATTTGCAAAAACAGGTACTATCATTCTTGCCCTGGCAGTAAAATCAAAAGGGGAATATTCAGTATTTTGCAGGGGGCTGAGATTCTGATCTTCATACAAACAGGGTAATACAAAAGAAAACAGGCTGCTGCTTTGTAAAGCAAGAGCTGTTTTATGTGAATGTTTAAAACCGCAGCCTGAATGATGTGTGTCAAGAAGTCGAGGGCAAAGAATGGATACAATGGTCAGTCACTACCAACATTTCCATAGCCTCACATGCAGTTAAATGAACTTCAGCTGGATGGAAGAGACACATTAACCTTCTCTGAGCAAAATAAAAATAAGAATGACACTATGCTCATGTGTACCTCAGGGGCTAACTCAGCCTCTCAAAGGCAAAATCCTCAGCCTCTTCCCACTCACGTGACATTCTGGGATTATATTTCCTGGCCACAAAGTAGAGTTTGAAATAATTCCAATGAAAGAAAGACATACGGGTGGGTGGGGTGGTGGTAGAAAATGTAGGCATGGGGGAGTCAGTGGCAGCCTGATTTCCTGGTATTTGGGAAGAGCGTGTGAGTATTTGTGAGATGCATTTTGAAAACTTAAGAATAAGTGGGAAATTAATGGTACAACATTGAGGAAGAATAGAAAGAGCAAAATTACTGATATTCAGTAGTAATAACAATAGATGTTACAATGTTCTGTGTGCAAGATCATGCAAATTAAAGGAAAGGGGATCTGAAATAGCAGGATCCTCCAAACTACCACTTTGTGGTTTAGTGTTCCTTAGTGAGAAAGATTAAGGAGCAGTAGCTAAAATGACCCCGAATTAGAATGGATCCTTAAAAAAAAATGTTAAAATATGGATTGTAATTGATAACATTATTTATACAAATACAATTAGAGATAGTGTAAAGTAATATTGATTTCTCCTTGAAAAAACCTAAGGGATTTGTGAAACTTAGAAATAATATAATTATCAATTTGTGATGTAAATTCATAAAGCATTGTAGCATTCTTTGTGTAGGGCTTCACACAAAGCATGCTAAATTTCAACTGGAATGTTACCAGTTTAGAAGGTTACCAAATTCTACTCTCTATGAAGGCAATGGAATATGGTAGAAGGAATAGGGGCTCTGAAACCGAAGTACCTGAGGTTCACATTCCATCTACTCTAGCTGTGGGACCTTGGGGATGTGATTTAAACTAACCTAAACTTCAGTCACATATTCTTCAAAAAGTAGAAATAAGAATGTAGGCATCACAAGGATGTTAGAAGGATTAAATTTCATAACATTTACAACTGGTGAATAGTCCCATCTGTGCTTGAAGAAGTATCAAGGTTAAGAGAGTTGACTTTTCTCCAATCAGTGTTTGTAACATTGCTCTTAGATCTCTGCTGTTAGTCTCTTAATGAAATTTCGGGTGGGTCTGTCAACTTTCAGATTACTTTGAGTCTCAAATCATTTTTGACTTAAAACATTAGTCTAAAAGGAAAGACTAAGTTCTCATTTCCCATTTGGAGTTCTGGCAGGATGTCTAGTGAGTTTGTGTGCCCCTATGCCTAATATGGAGAGGAGAGACGAGAACCGGAGAGCTGGGATGCTGGAATAGCCTGCACGCCACAGATCGACAAAGCAAGACATTTTCATGGACCCTACAGCTCACAGGGCTTAATTTTGTTTCTCAACCAAAATGCCAAGATCAAGCTGAGCTGAAATACTGACTGTTTGGAGAATGGTATGATCTCCCTCTGGAAGACCTCTCCTTCCCTATATTCCCTCTCCAAGGACAAGTTATTTCTATGTGTTGGGATGGGATGAAAAAAGAGAGAAAAGAACAAGTCTCTGTAATTAGTTGACTTTTTTTGGTGGTGGTCTCTGATTCCCACTGATAGACTATTGATGTCCTCTGTGCCAGACATTTAAGGAGGGTTCATGTGTAAGTTCTTCAGAGGAGCTATTGCACTTCAAGGTGCCTGACGTGGGAGATGAAACTCTGTTGGACATCTCCTATCCCTTCCCTCTTCCTACTACTGGCCCCATGTCCCAAAGCCTCTTAGGTGGGGTACTAAAATGATGGCTCATGCCTAGCATTTGGCAGAGGCACCTGACAGCAATAACTTAAGCATACCTTGAGAATGATCCTGTATGGCAGACACACCTGAATATGTGTTCAGAATTCCAAGCTAAAGAATATGGAAATGGCCAACTCAGAGATCCATTCCTTATCTATGAGGAACATCGAAACCTTCTGCCAGTCTTGTGGAACATGGGCCATACAGGGGATTGAGGTCCTTTGCTTCTGGTTAAATGAACGTTTTCAGTTGCGAGATTTAGGGAGAGGGTTCTAAGTGAAAATGCTATATAAACTGCATTCTTTTTGCAAGACTTTACAGTTCTCCTGTCCAGCCCGCTGTCACTGGACCATCCCTGTATGTAAGGTTCCTGCTTAAAAAATCCTTTGTCTCCTTTGCTGGCCCTGGGTCTCTTCTGCCTCTTGAACCTGGTGCCATTCCTACTGAAGTTAATAGGGGTCTGGCATGGCACCTATCTACCTTCAATGATGGGTCAACCCCAAGAGCTACAGTGTCCATAAAATAACTCCAAATGGGAAACAAGAAGTTAATCTCTTTTTCTTGCAGGTATTTCTTTTTGTAAAAATTTTCTTTTTTTTCTTTTCTTCTCCTTTTTTTTTTTTTTTTTTTTTTTTTTTTTTTTTTTTTTTTTTTTTTTTGGTGGATATGGGGCTCCTATGTTGCCCAGGCAAATCTTGAACTCCTGGCCTCAAGTGATCCACCTCAGCCTCCCAAAGTGTTAGGATTACAGGCGTGAGCCAGATATCTCAACTCTTTTCTTTTTTTTTTTTTTTTTGAGACGGAGTCTCGCTCTGTCGCCCAGGCTGGAGTGCAGTGGCGCGATCTCGGCTCACTGCAAGCTCCGCTTCCCGGGTTCACGCCATTCTCCTGCCTCAGCCTCCCGAGTAGCTGGGACTACAGGCGCCCGCCACCGCGCCCGGCTAATTTTTTGTATTTTTAGTAGAGACGGGGTTTCACCTTGTTAGCCAGGATGGTCTCGATCTCCTGACCTCATGATCCACCCGCCTCGGCCTCCCAAAGTGCTGGGATTACAGGCGTGAGTCACCGCGCCCGGCCGATATCTCAACTCTTGATAATAAAATATCTTGGAACATTCCCTCATGTGGCTGGAGCCGGGTGGGCGGGAGTTCACCTGCCATAAAGAAACGGCTCCCACAAGTCCATAACTCCACTGGGTCAGCAAAGGTCGCTGGTGGCTACCATGCTGGCAGCAAGAATGATTCTTTTACTTCCTAGTAAGTCTCAGAAAAGTGTTGTTATGTTGTAAATGACTTGCTTTCTTAGAGTGTCCATCTCTCTGCTTACAGTATCCATCTATTCTTTCATGTTTTCCACTTTTTCCATTTGAACCCATAGCAAATTAATCATTCAAAATTCCTGGTCTGATACTTCCAAAGATCTCTGCCATATCTCAGTCTGGTTCTTGTGCTTGTTTTGTCTCTTCAGACTGTGTTGTCTTCTTTTTACCACGACTTGTAATGTTTTTGTTAAAAGCCAACAGGACGTATTGGGTATAAGGAACTGGGGTTAAACAGGTCTTTAGTGTGAGGTTTCATGTTTGTCTGACTAGGATTTAGTCTCTGTTGGCTGTTTGCTGTTCCTGTAATGTCAGAGACTAAAATTTTTTCTAATGTCCTTATTTTGGTCTTTGGGTTTATTAGAGACTCCATCTGAAATAGACTCTGAGCTGGACAGTTCTTTTAATGAAACTCCTTGGCATTATACAGGAGCCTGTAGAAGGGTCAGAAGGTGGGAAGAGAGGGGAAGTGTTTTATAATCCTTTATTGGTTCTCAGTCTTTTACTTATTCTGAGTTGGATATGTCCCTTCCTCCATGTCGAAGGCTAGAAGGAGCTGGAGTTGGGCAGTTCCCTTCTTCAAATCATGGGTTAGAGTGGCCTAGAGTCAGGTATTTGGTATTGAGTACCAACATTGGGTAACTGCATGTTGGTTAAACTCTGGTGAAATAGATTTTCTTGAGGGAAGGCCTTTTTTAAGGAGAAGAGAACACTCTAGGTATATGTCAACTGGCTACCTTTCCCCTCTCCCTGTCAGTGGGGATCTTTTTCTATTCTTCACAGTAAAAACCTGGGTGGATTTCTTGAGGTGAAACTCATCCAGTTTTGGGGTCTTTGCTGAGCGTGTGACACCCCCCTCCACCCCCCAGCATTTTTATCTCTCAAGCTAGTCTGCACACCATTCCCAACAGTTAGTCAAATCTTCTGCAAGTGTTCCTACCAGTTTCTGGCCCTGGCATTGATTTCTCTGCCAGTAAGCTATGATCCACCTGTCTCTTCAACATTCAAGGTGGCAATTTGTCCTATGACTTCAGTTCGCCAGTGGATCTAAGGGGAGTCGCTTTTTATTTTGTTAGCCTTTTTGTCATACTGTAAGGATGGAAATAACATCCAAACTCTTTAATTATTGGTTCAGAAACCAAAAATCAAGTGCACGCTCCTAGCTCTGTAACCTAGTGCCAGCGTATCTTTATACATTCATATAAAATGTCTAGTATTTGGCATGGTGCACAATAAGAACATCATTGTGATAAAAGTTTGCTCCTTTTTATAAATCCTTTAATCCTGAAGTTGAAAATGTAGCAGGAATCATGGAAACAGTTTGAATGCAAAGAACAGTAAGAAATACAAATGTACCAGGAATCAAAACTGTGCTAAAAACAAAACAATACAACACAAAACAAAAACTACTTGTATAACCATTCTGAAAACATATGACTTCTGAGTTTTACTGAATAATAACTAAACATTTAGCTTCCTGGAACAAAAGTAAAGAGCTGACAGAAATGAACAAAAATACGCAGATATCACTGAGATGGTTGTATTTTATGGCAACCCTTTTGGATAACAGGACATATGCAGAGCCCTCGTCCATCACCATTGCTCCACGTATATGTAACATACTCAGGAGTCTGTCTAAGTCAAAGTGTAGCCTTAAGGAGAAGAAGTAGAGAGGCTCAAGTGTACCACCTATGTCTACTGTTAAAGAACAAAAGAGACCTCTCTCTCAGAGTTTGTGGCTGGAGGGTTAGAATTTCAAAAGAAATTCTAACTGTGATGTATCTAATCTGTGTCCTCCCTCATGAAAACCTTGATCCAACTGCTTGTGTTGTGAGAAGGAAGTTTATGTGAAATGTGATGTTGTTGGCCACCACTAAGGGTGACTCATTGTTTAACCTTCCAGGGAGTTTTGAAAAATGTGTCTTAGAATCAGCTTATGGCAGATGAGAGGTGAAGAATTTATCCATTGGCCCTTGTCTTCCGTCAGTCAAGGGTGGCCCCAGGAGCACCAACCTCCTGGCTCTCCCCAGCTCTGTGTTCTGCAAGCGTGAGCACTTCGTGGTCCCCCTTCCCTGAGGCATCAGGGAGGTAGGGCAGGGAACAGCGTGATTTGGGGATGAAGCTCCATCAAACCATACTTGTGTGAAGCTGGTCCTGGCAATGTGTGGGGGCTGAGATTTGACAGTGCAATACAAGATAATGTGACGCTTAATGGTAGTATGTAACTCCAGTTTGCAAGAATCAATTCCATTTCCTGGGGACCCAGCAATGTTTAGGAAATCTTGAAAATACAGTGGAGCTGGAAGCAGCTAGCTATCTTCCTTCTATTTTCTTGTGAACACAAAGTTGTTTGTTTCTAAATAATAATAAGACTATTTCATAATCATCTCAAACACCTGGATCAACTTTCCCTGATGCCATTTTACTGACTCCCTATGATGAAGCTGTGAAATTGTATTTGAACATGGAACAGACTGGAATAATGTTTTATTTTTTCCTTATTTCTTTTGATTTGTAAAACATTGCTCTTTTTCTATCATTCTGGATCATGCTTCATGGTATAATTATTGACCCTCTGGGTTTGTCTTCATTTATATAGCACCATGTATAAAAAGCCTTTCTCAATTCAAGAGAAATTGAGAAAGAAATTGTGTCCATAAATTCCCTTTGTAATTTTGTTTCATGATTTCCTTTAAATATTCAATCAAGCCATCAGATGTGTTAGACTAAATCTTGTACATGTGTGTGTCTCATGGTGACTCACTTGAATTAACTTGTAAGTTTGTAGATGTCTTGTCGTTTTGTTCCTGATTACTCGAATCCCTCTCCAACTCCAGAGGTTTGTGGTCTTTTGTTGCCATAGATAGAAATGGTGGGCTGCCAGCAGCTTCAGATCTTTCCTTGCATATGACTTTGTAAGAAGTTTTTTTCAAGGAATGAATTTTTCAAAGAACACAGTAGCATTTCATGACCTGAATTCTCTGCCATACACAGTAATAGAACTTGATATGAGTCTATTGAAAAGTTAGTTGCTCCTTTTCCCAACTAATTATATGAACTATTAGGTAAATATGAACTCCAAAGAAATCCCCAAATTTATAATATTCGTTGTTATAAGTAAACGTTTTCTTCCCTATAATCTTGCTATCATGAGCTAATGAATGTTTAACTTTTTAAAAATTTCAAGCTATTAGTCAAAATGTAAAAGTCTAACAATGTGTATTAAATACATGCTATGTGGGTGTGAAGAAATTCTAAGAAACTTTCCTGTAACTAAGTATTTTAGAATCTAAAGAAATGTTTTGGTTCTCAGAAAAAAACCTTTATGAAGCAACCCACCGAAGGCCTTAAGTTCCTCCAGGCAGGAGGCCACGCCACATCTCTCTTATTGTGACAGTAAAATGGGATTAAGGCAATCCAAAGAAGCTATGGCCTGCAGACTCAAGAGTCTAACATTTTTATCAGGTGCAGCAAAAGATGCATTTTCCAGTCAATAATCCAATAATGTCCTTGCCCTTGAGTCTTGACACACCCATCATCTTGGTATGAATATGGGGGCTGTAGATGGACAGAGGGGACTGAAGATTGCTTTCCATGAGCTTTCCTTAAGGACTAACATATGATGCTGAACAGAATAAAGACCTACAATTCAATTCTATTTACTTTGAAATCATGCCTATATATTGAAACGCTAATACTCTATCACACCTATATAACCATGCAGATAACAAGGGCTCTGTATGTTCACATTATAAATTCATCATATATTTGCAGACACTGTAACAGATGGCTTTTAGCTCCTGACTGAAGATAATACATAGCTGCCATGCATGTTCAGTGTATTAGACCATTCTTTTAAGAAAACTTGTGGGTACATAGTGCATATCTTCATGGCTTACATGAGATGCTTTGATACAGGCATGCAATGTGAAATATGTATTAGACCGTTCTTGCATTGCTATAAAGAAATACCTGAGAATGGGCAATTTATAAGAAAAGAGATTTAATGGCTCATAGTTCTGCAGGCTGTACAGGAAGCATGGCAACAGCATCTGCTTCTGTTGATAGAAACTTTAATAATGTCTTTTGTTATTTTCTCACTGAAATGCTTTAGATAGCTTATTTTGGGAACAAATTTTACCCAAAAAATAATTGCATCTACTTCTGGAGAGGCCTCAGGAAGCTTTTATTCATGGTGGAAGGTGAAGCAGGAGCAGGCATGTCACATGGTGAAAGCAGGAGCAAGTGAGAGAGAAAGAGAGAGTGGGGGTGAGGGGCACACATGTTTAAACCACCAGATCTCATATGAACTCAGAGCAAGAGCTCACTTATCACCAAGGGGATGGCCCAAGCCATTCATGAAGGATTTGCCCCTATGATCCAAACACCTCTCACCAGAACCCCCCTCCACCAATGGGGATTACCATTCAACATGAGATTTGGGAGGGGACAAATATCCAAACTATATCACTTAGGTTCTGCCTAGACAGGGCCATTCGTTTTTTCTGTAATTTGTTAAGCATAGTTTTTTAAAATGTTAAGCTGGGAACTATGGTGGGTGCAGAGATGACCTAGGCACACAGTCTGTCATCAATTAACTTCTAGTCTAATTGAATAATGCAAAAATATACTTAAATTTTAAGATACAAGTATGGGAGAAGGGGAATATGACTGATGGATGGAGAAGTCAGCCAATAGGCAGGCTTTCCTCCCAGAGAGAGTACAAAGGATGAACCACCAGGCTCCAGAGAAAATGAGAGGGGAAGGCACACGCAGGTGGTGGTAGTCAAGGGGTTGCATGGGGAGGAAGCCTTTCTGGTACAGTGGAGAGTGGGGGCATTTTGTCACTAGGGCATTGTTTCAGAAATGGGGTTTTCGTGGGGTCTGCCATTTAAAATTCACATTAAAGTATGTAAATGCTCAGTCAGGTACTGAGGCCGAAAACAAATCAGGCAAATAACTCTCTTGGAAGCCTCAGAGGATAATCTTTACAACCAATTATTTTTCGGATAAAATGTGTTCCCAAAATAAGCCATCCAGAGCATTTCAGTGAGAAAAGAACAAAAGACACTATTAAAGTTATTTAAACTGTTCAAATGTCACAATACGTTGTGGTCAAGAAGAGGAGCTTCTAGTCAGTTGAATTCATGTACGTTTTTATTTCCAAATAGAGATTTGATTTCTCTGCATATGTATGTAAGTATATAGATATAGATATAGGTGTATTGGTATATGTTTTATATGTATGTATATATAGAGAGAAATTAATATGTGTATGTATTTGCACATATACACACACACGTATGTGTGTATATATATAACCCATGTACAGAAGGATGCATATGTGTATTATATATATATGTGTTTTGAGAAAAAAATTCCCTCTCATGTACCATATATGTGTATAAATGTGTGTGTGCGTACCAAATTATCTATTACCAAATCCACCCAAAGCCTGCTGTCTTCTCTCTTTCCTGGCAGTGGTTTCCTGCTTATGATCAGCTATTACATTACTTGACCATCTTTCCTAAACTTACTTTGAGTCCCTGAACTTATGAAAATTTGGGGATATTAGTAATTTTCAAAGCCATTGACATGAGAATGTGATTGTAATATAAAATACTTGCATCCTATTTCCATAGATTTATCACTTTATTTAAATAAATAAGAATTTTTTTGTCATTTGGAAATGTTTCCTAGAAGGTCAGCTAAACACACACACACACACACACATTTATACACTTACATATAGGAGGGAATTTTTTTCTTAAAACAGGACACTTTCAACTCAAGCAGTTTAAACAGAATATAAACAAGATATACTGTAAATGTTAGGATATAGAGAATTTCGTTATCTTTTTAGGCTTAGATTTATTCTATGATGTTTTCTCTGATACCCAAGTTTAACATTTACTAATGTCTTTTGAGTAAAAGGAAAAAAGAATGAGAAACTTATTTACTGTCATATACCCTAATTCCTTGATCACTCATTTCAGCCACCACATCATTTCACCAAGCACTGGCTGAATCTGTCTCATGCCTCCACGCACTCACTCCCTTATTTTTTTTGTGAAAAATAAATGAAAGGATGCATTTAATTCTTTAGATTCCACTATTTGGTCAATAAATTACCTGTCTCTGTCTTTCAACATTTACTGTCTCTTATGCTGACCTCTTTACCCTTAGTGCTTTGAAAAATGTTCTGATATTTATCTAAACTTCCCTGCAATCTTCCTTTCATTTTTCATCTTTGCTTTTCTTATATATTTTTTACACTTGAATTCATTCTATAATCTCCTCTGTTACATCTGGATGTAGTGTTTTATATTCCACATATTTCTCTCTCATACCTTGATTGCTTTCTGCACCTCCTGATTTATCCACATTGACTTTTGTTCACTCCGGCTGTACTTATTGGTATGTGACATTCCTAACCCTTGGGCATACATTAATTTGTCATTAAATATTTTCCATTTCCCCTTGCTGGCCTTTGTAGAATTCCATTACTTTATCCCCCTGGATTGTTCCCACCTCTTATCACACTTTTGCAAAGAATGCACTCTCCCCAAATCTAGCATTTTTATTATTCAGTATTTGGATCCAAACCAGGATCATTTTTATGGTTGGAGTGACTATTTTGCAGTGAGCTGTCTCTGTGGAGGGCACTAAACTTGGCATGGAGTGCCCTTTTTTTTAGTGAATTCTCTTCAGACAGAAATTTAGATTATGCCATTTAAACAAATTTAGTTTCACCTGCCAATAGAGGAAATGTGTTGAGCAGATTCATCACCCTTATGTAATAGAACACGCTTTCAGTTTGACCTATGTGCATAAACAGCAGGCCTATTACCAAATCCACCCGAAGCCTGCTGCCTTCTCTCTTTCCTGGCAGTGGCTTCCTGCTCATCATCAGCTATTGCATTACTTGACCATCTTCCCTAAATTTACTTTGAGTCCCTGAACTTATGTACATTTGGGGACTATTAGTAATTTTCTTTATATATATATATATATATATATATATTTTTATTATACTTTAAGTTCCAGGGTACATGGGCACAACGTGCAGGTTTGTTACATATGCATACATGTGCCATGTTGGTGTGCTGCACCCATTAACTCTTCATTTAACATTAGGTATATCTCTTAATGCTATCCCTCCCCCCTCCCCCCACCCGACAGCAGGTCCCAGTGTGTGATGTTCCCCTTCCTGTGTCCAAGTGTACTCATTGTTCAACTCCCACCTATGAGTGAGAACATGCGGTGTTTGTTTTTATGTCCTTGCGATAGTTTGCTGAGAATGATGGTTTCTAGCTTCATCCATGTCCCTACAAAGGACATGAACTCATCATTTTTTATGTCTGCATAGTATTCCATGGTGTATATGTGCCACATTTTCTTAATCCAGTCTATCATTGTTGGACATTTGGGTTGGTTCCAAGTCTTTGCTATTGTGAATAGTGCCGCAATAAACAGATGTGTGCATGTGTCTTTATAGCAGCATGATTTATATTCCTTTGGGTATATACCCAGTAATGGGATGGCTGGGTCAAATGGTATTTCTAGTTCTAGTTCCCTGAGGAATCTCCACACTGTCTTCCACAAGGGTTGAACTAGTTTACAGTTCCACCAACGGTGTAAAAGTGTTCCTATTTCTCCACATCCTCTCCAGCACCTGTTGTTTCCTGACATTTTAATGATCGCCATTCTAACTGGTGTGAGATGATATCTCTTTGTGGTTTTGATTTGCATTTCTCTGATGGCCAGTGATGATGAGCATTTTTTCATGTGTCTTTTGGCTGCATAAATCTCTTCTTTTGAGAAATGTCTGTTCATATCCTTTGCCCACTTTTTGAAGGGGTTGTTTGTTTTTTTTCTTGTAAATTTGTTTGAGCTCTTTGTAGCGTATTAGCCCTTTGTCAGATGAGTAGATTAGTAATTTTCAAAGCCATGGACACAAGAATGTGATTATAATACAAAATACTTGCATCCTATTTCCATAGCTTTGTCACTTTATTTAAATAAATAAGAATTGGCTCATCATTTGGGAATGTTTCCTAGAAAGTCAGCTTAACTATTTACTGGCATATCTTCTTTCTTTCCCCTTACTCCTTTCCACTGTTCCTGTTACAATAAACTTCCTTTTATTCTTCACAAAGAAAACTCATAAAATTCGGTTTTTGTCAAGGAGTCTTCCACAAAAAGTGCTGTTAACTTTTTTTTCAGTTTTAACTCCAGATGCAAACCCACTTTCTAACATGAGATAGCTCTATAGTTATGTGTGTGCAATCACACACACAATCCTTTTTCTTTTTACTACGTTCATTGGCAATTGACAATGGTTATTCACAGTTGATAACTTGAATATGTTTTAGATCGAAAAGTAAGAAAATCAGCTGACTGCTTAATGTTGTTGTTTTTTTTTTCTTTTTGGTGTCTGGAAAGTGTCTTTGTGACTGAGAAGGCCAGAGATGTAGTGAGAAAGAACAGTGCCATATTTGGAATCTGCTAGTCTGCTTCAAATCTGAGTTTGACCAGCAATGATGAGTCCATGGGCATTTATCCCTCCTCTCAGAGTCATATGTAGTTACAATTATCTGTAATGAGCATCTCCTATGAAGGCTAGAGATTGCATATGCAAGCCACTGGCCATGTGAGAATTGGCTAAGAAGTGATAAGTGCATATTGAGAATATTGACAAAATATTTATTATTAAGTATTGAAATATATATTATAATTGATTGTGATAAAAACTATTTGTGTAGGCTGTGGAAGTATTTCACAAATCCTTCAAATAAATTATCTCATATGATTTAACAAAATTCCTGTGAAGTGAGCAGGCAAGTATTATAATTATGATTTTACATTATTGAAAGGCACCTGTGTCTAGATATGACCTTGGATTTAACATTTTAGAGTTTCAAATAAATCTGGGACTAGAGTGAATGAAGAGTATAATCATAACAGTGTAAAGTTGAGTTAATTGTAATGACTTTGAATATATTTACTTTGAAATGCTCAGTATTCACGTTTAATGATTTCGAGTGTATGATCGTATGGAGAAGTCTGTGGAGTACAACGTGCAGCACTTTGTTAATTTTCACATGATATGGAGAGAGCGTGGATATAGCCATGCCAGAGGGAATATGGCTTTTCTTCAGGCTATAGTCATGATCTTGCTCAAGACTAGGACTCCTTGCTCCTGGGCCAGTGGTTTTCAAACTTCAACATGCATCAGATTCACCAGGAGGCTTCTTAAAACACAAACTGCTAGGCCCACTCTGAGAGTTTCTGACTGAGTGGGTCTGAAGTCAGGCTGAGTATTTGCATTTTTTGTGAGTTCCCAGGTGGTGCTGATGTTGCTACTCATGCTGTTCCTAGGACCATCTTTATAATCACTGGACTAGAATGTTCCCATCATTTCTTTTCATCAATAAAAAGGCAATTCTGTTAGAAAGATACTGAAGGTTGAAGACTAGTTATTATTTCTTAAACATTTTATTTTAAAATAATTATGGATTCATGGGAAGTTGCAAAGATTGCACAGAGAGTTCCTGTGTCTTCTTCACCCAGTTTGCTGTCATGGTTAGAACTTAGATAATTATAGCACAACTATGAAAATCAAGAAGTTCACATTGCAGTAAAGCATGTGTTTGCTTCTATGTCATTTTAATCACATGTGTAGTCACCATCCTGATCAAGACAGATAAATATTCCTTCATCTCAAAGATCTTTCTCCTGTTCCCTTTTTATAGTTGCACTGACCCCTTTCCACCTCCTCCACCATTCCAAACCAAAGGCAAACACTAATCTGTTTTTCAACTTTGTAGTTTTGTCATCTGAAAATGTTACATCAATGGAATTATCAGCAAAAGGGAGTTCAACTATTTGTTGGGTGTATCAGTAATTCACTCCTTTTCATTATTGAGTGGTATTGCCTGGTGTGGGTGTCCCAGTTAATCATTGATCACCCATTTAGAGACATTTGGTTTTGCCCACTTTTCGGCTATTATGAACAAAGTTGTTATGAGCAATGATGTACAGGATTTTTGCGTAAATATATTTTCATTTCTCTGGGACAGATGCCCAAGGGTACAAAAACCAGATTGCATGGTAAACATATATTTACTTTTTAAAGCAAGTTCCAAACTAATTTCCCAAGGGGTCACTGGAAATTTCCATCAGTAGTGCTGGAGAGATTTAGTTTCTCAGCATCTTGTCTAGCATTTGGTGTTGTCACTACTTTTATGTTAGCTATTCTGAGAGATGTGTAGTGATATCTAATTGTGGTCTTAATTTGCCTATCTCTTATAGCTAGTGATTTACACATCTTTTCATGTGCATATTTGTCATTCATAGCTCCACTTTCATGAAACATTTCTTCATGTCTTTTGCCCATTTTCTTACTGGCTGTTTCTTAGCCACTGAGTTTTGAGAGTTCTTTATATATTTTAGATATGAGTTCTCTGTCAGAAATGTGGTTTGCAAATATTTTCTCCAAGATTGCAGCTCTTCTTCTATTTCTCTTAACAGGGTCTTCCAAAGAGCAAATGGTTTTAATTTTGATGAAGTTCTAATTTATCAATTGTTCTTTTGTGCTTTTGGTGGCATATCCAAGAACTCTTTACCAAAAATTAGAACCTGAACATTTTACCTATTGTTTTTTCCTAAACATTTTTTGCTTTTATTACTATTTTTAATTGGCATATACTAATTTTACATATTTGTGGGGCATGGTGTGATATTTTCATACATGTATACAATGTATAATGATCACATCAGAGTAATTAACATATCCATCACCTCACACATTTCTCATTTCTTTGTGCTGGGACATTCAAAATATTCTGTTTGAAAATATACAATAAATTATTGTTAATTATAGTCACCCTGTAGTACTATAGAACATTAGAGCTTACTCTTTCGATCTAGCTATACTTTTCCATCTATTAACCAACTTCACACTATCTCTTCCATCCCCTTATTTAGTTTCATGTTTTACATTTAAGTATATGATCCATATTGAGTTAGCTTTGGATAAAGTGTGAGTTTTAGATTTAAAATCTTGTTTCCTTTTTCTTTTTTGCTTATGTGTATCTAATTGCTCTAGCATTATTTGTTGATAAACTATTTTTTTGCATTGAATTGCTTTTGTATCTTAGACCAATACAATATGATAAATATGATTTATAATAGTACAATATTATTTTTTGACAATTTCTGGATTTTCTATTCTGTTACATAGATCTACCTGTAGATTGCCAATACAACACGATCTTGATGACTATAATTATATAGTAAGTCTTGACAACAAGTACAATAATGCCTTTATTTTATATTTATTATTTAAAGTTGCTTTAGCCATTCTAATTATTTTGTATTTCCATGAGAGTTTAGATCTTTTCTATATCTATAAAAATATCTTCCTGGGATTTTGATCAGAATTGCATAAGCCTGTGCATCAATTTGAGAAGAATTGACAACTTTACCATGCTGTCTTCCAATCCATGAACACATTAAGTTTTTCCATTTATTTACTTGTCTTTGATCCCTTTAATTAGTGTTTTTTCACTTTTTAACATTCACCTCCTATACATTAGATTTACACCTGCATATTTCAATTTTTTGGTTAATTGTAAATGGTATTGTAATTTTAATTTGTTTCCATGTTTTCACTGCTAGTATAAAAATGCGACTGATTCGGTGTCTTGATCTTTTATCCTGCAACTATGCTGAATTCAATTATTCATTCTAGGTTTTTTTTTACTTCTTTAGATTTTCTATGGAAACCTTCATGTCATCTGTAAATAGAAATAGTTTTCTTTCTTCTTTTCTCATCTATATGCCATTTTTTCTTTTGCCTTATCATGCCAGCTAAAATTTCTGGCACTATATTGAATAAGTTGGTAAGAAAGAACATCCTAACTTTGTTCCTGATATTAGAGAGAAAGTGTTTAATTTTTTACCATTAGGTATGTGGTTAGCGATAATATTTTGGTATATTTTTTCAATCAAGTTGAAAAAGTCCCCTTTAGTTCTAGTTTTCTGAGTTTTTTTTATCATGACCAGATATTGAATTTCATCAAACGTTTTCTTTTGCATCAAATATTATTATTTATCTTCTTTAGCTTGTTAATATGGATTAATTAACTTTTGACTGTTGTTCCAGCCTTGTATCTGTGGAAGAAATCTCTCTCAATCATATTGTATAATTATTTTTATATATTGCTGAGTTCTATATGCTAATATGTTGTTGAGAATTTCTGCCCCTATATTTATGAGGGTTTTGTAATTTTCTTTTGTGGTATTGTCTGTATGATTCTTATATAAGAGTATTACTGGCTTCACATAACGTATTAGAAAGTGTCTCTTCTTATTCCATTTACTGGAAGAGATTGTGTAGAATTGATGCTGATTCTTACTTAAATGTTTCACAGAATTCTCCAATGAAAACATTTTGATCTGAAGATTTTGCCAGGCGGGGGAAGGTGGGGAATTTAATTATGAATTAAAATTTCAAGCAGTTATAAAGCTATTAAAGTTGTATATTTTTTATTGGGTGAGTTTGCATCATTTTTGATTTTCAGGAAATTGATCAATTTCATCTAAGCTGTCAAATTTATGTTTGTAGAGTTATTTCTAATATTTTCATATTATCCTTTGGAAATCTGCAGTCTGTAATAATATCCAATGTTTCATTCCTAATATTAGTAATCTGTGGCTTCTCTCTTTTTTTTCTTTGTCAGGCTAGCTAAAGATTAGTCAGCTTTGTTGATTTTTGTTAAAATAAGACATTTTTTCATTGTCTTTTCTCTTTTTTTGTTTTCAATTTCATTTATTTCTATTGTTATATCTTTTCTTCTGCTAGGTTTATGTTTTTCTGTTCTATTTTCTTGAAGTGGGAGCTTAGATTACCGATATAAGACTTTTCCTCTTTTTTTTTTTTTTTTGGAGACAGTCTCGCTCTGTTGCCTAGGCTGGAGTGCAGTGGTGCCATATCAGTTCACCGTAAGCTCTTCCTCCTGGGTTCAAGCCATTCTCTTGCCTCATCCTCCCGAGTAGCTGGAACTGCAGGCATGTGCCACCATGCCTGGCTAAATTTTGCATTTTTAGTAGAGACAGGGTTTTGCCATGTTGGACAGGCTGGTCTTGAACTCCTGACCTCAGGTGATCCGCCTGCCTCTGACTCCCAAAATGCTGGGATTACAGGCTGAGCCACCATGCCCGGCTTTTCTTCTTTTCTAATATGAATGTTTAGTACTGTAAATTTCCTTTTTTAATACTGCTTGAGCTGTCATCTACAAATTTTAATATGTTGTATTTTCATTTTCTTGCATTCAATGTGCTTTTAGCTTTTCCTTTAAATTTTTTCTTCCACTCATGAATATTTAGCAGTGTGTTTTTTGAGTTCCAATTGCTTGGTACTTTTTCTTTTTTGTTTTTTTTTGTTATTGATTTCTAGTTTGATTCCATTATAGTCAAAAACCAAACTGTTTATGATTTCAATTTCTTTGAATTTGTTGAAGTTTGTTTTATGGCCCAGGATGTGGTCTTCATTGGGATGTATTCTGTGGGCACTGGATACAAGTATGATCCTGTTGATGGATCGTGATTTTGAGTACTATATTTTTGCTGATTATCTGGACAGTTGTCTTTTACTTGTTGTGAGAAGTTTGTTGAAATGCCCAAGTACAATTGTGGAAATGAGCTTCTTGTAGACAGTATATAATTGGGTTGTTTATTTAAATCCATGCTACCGATTTTTGTATTTTAATTGGTGCATTTAGATCATTTACATTTAATATAATTAGGGATTAGAGTGTAAACTGGTCATTATATATTTTTTGTTCTGTTTCTTCTCTGTTTTTGTTTTAATCCCCTAGCTTTCTTTTTTGTTTCTTCCTATAGGTTGAGCATTTTTGGAATTTCATTTTGATTTATATATAGTATAAATTTTAAAGTATATTTCTATATATCTCTTTTAGTGATTGCTATTAATATTATATTTTTATCCCAATCTACTAGTGTCAATTTTTTTATCACTTTAAGTGAAGTGTAAAAATCTTACCTCTTTTTATGTCCCTTTATTCTCCTCCCATTTAATTTTAAAAGTTTCAGTATGGTGTGTCTTGGACATGGAATTATTTGGGTTTAACTTCTTTGGGGTTTACTCTGCTTTTTGAATCTGTAAGCTTATTAATTTTGGCAAATTTTGGAAATTTTCAGTCATACTTCAAAAACCGTTTCAGCTCTACACTCTCTGCTCCTCATTTTTGGACTCCATTGACATTAATGTTAGAAGTTTTTTTATAGTCTCATAAGTCCCTGATTGCTCTCAATTCTCTTATTGAGCCTATCCATTGAGGATTTGTTGTTAATTATATTTTTCAGTTCTAACATTTTGATTCTTCTTTATATCTTTTATTTATTTGCTTAGACTTTCTGTTTCATTTCCGAGACTTTCTATTTTTATTTAAGTGTGTTTGTAATTACTCATTTCATTTTTGTAATGGCTTTTTAAAGCTCTTATCAGAACATTTTAACACCTGTGTCATCTTGATGTTGGCATCTGTCAATTTTCTTTTCTTATTGAAAGTTGGGATCTTCCTGGTCTTTGATATGAGGATTGTTTTTTGATGAAACCTATTCATGTTAGGTATTACATTGAGAGACTCTGAACCATATTTAAATCTCATGTTTCAGCAACTCTTTTGTTACACTGCTCAATGTCAGGGAATGAAGGGCCAGAGAAAAGCCACAGCCTCTTTACTGAAAGGTTGGGTTGGAAGTTCAGAGGAAGCCCAGGTTATGTAGTAACTCTTTGTTGATTTGTGGTGAGGGGCATCTCATTAGTGTTGATGGCAGTGGCCTCAACTAAAACAATGGCAGTGTGTTTCTAAGGGGTGTGGGGTGGCTCATTACCACTTTACTGCTTTAGACATCCTGACTCTTCACCAGGCCTCCTACCACATTTCAGTAGTATGTAGATAAAAGTCTAGACTGTCCATGTGGTTTCTATTGACATAGGGTGGTGTGTGAGGGGAGTGTTGGAAGATTTGTTACTACATTGGAAGAATGAAAGTCTCAGCTCCCTACTCAGCATTCTCAGATGCCACCCAAACAGTGTGATTGGGTCACCTTATTACAACCTCTCAAGGTAGAAGTTGAGATACTCCACCAGGCTTGCAGAGCAGTTATTGTCTAATAAAAGTTTTCTTTTGTCTTGCTAGGCTGCCCCTCTCTGTGTCCTTTTGTTAGAGTGATCAAGCTTTACTTGGTGCCCTTTTTGTCTGTATTCTTAGGCATTTCCTGGCTGCTGGTTTCTCTAATATGTATTTAGAGATATACAAAGCAAAATGAAAGCCCAAGTAACTCTCCACTTTGTCAATTCTTGGATAGCAGAGTCCCTAGCCATTCTTCCTTCCTCTCTCCACCTTTTGATACTCAAGGTTTATAGTCACACTTAGTGGGAGGAATAGTGAAAGCTACATGTACTCTAACTTTCTGCAAGAGTAATTATTTTTAAAGATTTCTGTTAGACTTAATTTACAGTTCCGCAGCAATTATGTATTTCTTACAATGTCAAGTATTTCATTGCTTTTTTATTTAATGGGACAATGGAGGTTGGCCAATATAACAATATATGACATTTTTGGAATTTCTCACCTTGGCTCCCTTGAAAATATTTGGATACAGGTATCACCTAAACATATCTTTATTTTCACTCATTTTGAATATTACAGTGCACAAATGCTTAATCTTATCATTGCTTTAGTTTCATTTTCTATGTCCTAGAAACACTCAGTTTTTAAATGCCAAATAGTACATATGTCCACATCCTTTTATATTTCTTTTATTTGCTTATATTCCTTAATGCTTTCCTTTATAACTTCTACCCTCTGGGTATATTTTCTCTTGTCAGATTTTATTTTTGATTTTAGTCCTTTGAGTTGTCTCAAAAGGTGGGAAAGATGTGATGTCTATTTCCCCAACTAATATTATTTCTTCCCTGACCACCCATCTGTTTATTTAGTAGAGGCTTTTGTATAGACTTGTGACATATGCCTTCTAAAGATGTGCATGAATAACAAGTACCAAATAGGAATAAAATGAGATGGAGACGATGGTCTTAGAGTTTAATAATAGTAATTAATCATTTTTTTCTGTCTGAGCCTTATCTCAACTAACAAGAGATGTGTAATCTCCTCCTCTTTCTCCAAATTCTCTTTTTCTTTTCTCCATTTTGCCAAGGTCTTTCTCCAGAATTCAGACAACTCTGAAAACCCAAGTCTGTTGCTAGAAGATATCTTACTCTAAGAACACAGTGAGTAGCTTTCACATAAACCACCCCGATGGTATTGCTTACATATTTTAACCCTTTAATTTTTAATTCTAAAAAAGGTTTTTCCCCCTGAATGAACTAATGGTTAAAAACTTTGATATCTGGCCATCTCTTCCTGGCACTTTTGCTCTCTCTCTCTCTCTCTCTCTCGCTCGCTTGCTCGCCTGTTTTCCTTGTAAGGCTGACCTTAACATAACTTTTTGTCTTCATCTCCTAGCTCATTACCCTACAAATTAGATCACTAGTAAATGCTCCTTAATGATGATATTTGTTTGTGCTTAGGGAGAGCACAAAATGAAACTCTGATACAGTTTGTGACAGGCATATAATAACTTACTTGAATTGTCTTTTGTTAATTTCATTAAAGTAGGGGATAAGGATAGCAACAGTGATATTTAGAATCAACTGGAAGGAAACTATGTGATTTGCCAGTGCTAACAGAATGATAAACTTATTTTAAAATTTTGGTATCTTTTCTCCTGATTTATGAAGTGTTCTAACATGGCATGGGATTGCCAGCAAAACTAACCTATTGCAAAAGGAAATAAAATAATCTTCAAACAAGAGGAAAAACGAGGAAAAATATCCCTCATGTTTTCATTTAATTTAGCAGTATTTACCATTGATTTACCAGATGACTTTCCTCCATGATCAATATAATTGGGAATTGAAAAGTTTTTCTTAGTTTCTGGATCAAAACGTATGGGGACAAATGAGAAATCAGGGCTTGTCACCCCTTCTGTTGAGAGCCATGTTGGTAGGTTTTTTCCAGCTGTAATTGTTGAAGCATTATGTATGTCTATTCTCAGCTTTATTTCAGACAGTGGGAGGTGAAAGACAGATGATGGATAGTAGACTGAGATGAAAAAAAAAAAAAAAACCCAGACTGGCAGAAAGAAGTTCCTCAGAAAAGAAAGAACAAGGAATATGGTTAATGTTTGGTGGCTGTTGCAACAGAGGTATGTATATTTGCTTAGAGTATGGCAAGGCGAATAGGCAGAGAATTTTGTGGGAATATCATTAAAATATCTGAGTAAAAATAGGATTAGTAGCAACAAATGTATGCTTATGAAGGGTAAATAGTGATTAGATAACTTTTGTTAGGGTTTTCAGTGTGCAGAAAACTGGTCACAATTCTCAACTCTTCATGAACTGAAACAAACAGTAAGACACCTACTCTGTAAAACTCCTCAGCCTGATACTCGTTTCATTCATTCAACAGTAATTTTGGTGCCCTAATTTTACATGAGGTGCTTAGTCAGCAGAACTACCCAGCACATATACCAGGTAAACAAAATTTCATCTCAAAGTAAAAAAGATGTTTTCCCTTATCTATCTCTTTGATGTGTTTCAGATTACATTATTAACCTTTGCATTTCAAAGAGACATTTGCAAAGTTTTTTTTTTTTTTTCGAGACGGAGTTTCGCTCTTGTTGCCCAGGCTGGAGTGCAATGGCAGAATCTCAGCTCACCACAACCTCCGCCTCCCAGGTTCAAGCCATTCTCCAGCCTCAGCCTCCCGAGTAGCTTGGATTACAGGCATGTGCCACCACACCTGGCTAATTTTTTTGTATTTTTAGTAGAGACGGGGTTTCTCCATTTTGGTCAGGCTGGTCTCGAACTCCCGACCTCAGTTGATCCGCCTGCCTCCTAAAGTGCTGGGATTACAGTTGTGAGCCACCGCGCCCAGTGACATTTGCAAGGTGTTCATTCGAAAGCATAAAGCTATTATTAAAATCTTCCAAGTTTTCCTGATTTTTGAATTATCACCTATGTTTGATCACATACTGTTTTAATGTTTGCTTCCAAACAGTTTTCTGCATCTCTGTATCACTGTGGAAACATTTGTTTTTCTTTTCCTCCCAGAAAAGATGACTTTTGATTGCACTAGATGTGTTATTTAGAAACTAGTCAAACGAAAGAACTGTTTAAGATTGAGAGCAGAGAGTGTGTCACATCAACTGTCATGTATGCACTCTGTCTATATCATGTTCAAAAGTAGGGAGAGTTGGGGGGGTGTTATTTGTTTATTAAGTATCTCATGTTACATACTTTCAAAGAAATTACCACTTATTCTTTTGTAAATAATGTTTTAAGAAACGTGTCATTTTAGTGTTTGTTCTCTAGAAATGATAAATAATTAAAAATAGACCTGGACCACCAGCTTGCCAGAGGTTTAATGAAGTTATGAAAACTTTGTTGACCAATATATCCTTTGGAAGATTGACTTAGACCACCATTGTCTAGTAAAACTCTCTGAGATTAGGAAAACTTTCTATATCTGCTCTGTCTGATGGTGTAACCCATAGCCACATATGGCTATCGAGTGCTTGAAATGTTTCTTTTATTACAGAAGTAACTAACATTTTAAGTTATTTGAGTTTGATAAATTTAAATATAAATATAAATAGACTCATGTGGTGAGAGATGACCATGTTGGGTGGACATATTTAGACAAATGCTGAGATTAAACGTATACTTCAGATTTTGTTAAAAATTTCATTCAGAGAACTATAGAAAACTGAGAAGAATAGTTAATGTTTTGCTAAAACCCCAAGCTGAGTGTCTGGCACACAGGTGTCATTCAGAGAGTGTTACATTTTTCCCTTTCCTTCTTCTTACGATGTTACAGTATCACAGTGCATATAGGTAATATATAGCAAATTAAAACATTAAACATTTAGGCCAGGTGAGGTGGCTTACGCTTGTAATCCTAGCACTTTGGGAGGCCGAGACGGGTTGCATGAGCTCAAGAGTTTGAGACCAGCCTGGGCAACATGGTGAAACCCCGTCTTTACAAAAAATACAGAAAAATTAGCTGGGCATGGTGGTGTGGGCCTGTGGTCCCAACTACTTGGAGGGCCGAGGCAAGAGGATCACTTGAACCTGGGAGGTCAAGGCTGCAGTGAGCCGAGATCCTGCCACTGCACTCCAGCCTGGGTGACAAAGTGAGACCTTGTCTCAAAAATAAATGAATAAATAAATAAATAAATAAATAAATAAAACATTTATATTTGTTACAGGTTTTTAGCATGATGAGAAAGTATGCAACAGGAAAAAATCTTGTGAGTCAGTTGAAATAGATTCTTTTTATAGTTCTATGCGTAACTAATACGGTATTAGAAAGTATTGCCTTCTTTCTTTTCTCTCCAATAGTGGAATGGGGATGTAACCACCTTTCTCCCATCTAATACTGTGATTTTACTAAGTTGAACCATATGACGTTGTAAATTTTATACCTTAAACGTGACAACTATGAACAGTTTCATTCAGTTCAACAGATTAATTAGGAAAAATAAATGGCACACTGAAGGAAAGGCAACGTGTATTTTAGAATGTAGTTATTTCCCAAATTGTTAAACACTTATTATTTTCAGAGAGTATATTTTTGGGTAAAATAAATAAAAATGGAAGTGTCTATATAAATATGTTTATCTGTGTGTGCATGTATATATGCATAACTTGCCTCCAGGCTGTAATGTAGAGGTTTAAGCTGCATACTCTCTAGGAGCATGACTTAAGAAAAAAGTTTAGTCTCTGTTTCTCTCAGTTCATATATGGCTTACATTTGCACATAGTTGGGTAAATTGAAATTAAAAATCTCCTTTTAATTGAGAAGAATTTCGGGTCCAGTTGATTTCATACCATATACCTAACCACCACGGCAGGTCTTGAAAGAACAGAGACGGACTCTTCAGTAGAGTAGGGTAATCAGAATGATGGCCTCTTACTTTGGAAGGTGTTCTCATGCTCTTAGAGAACCAGAAGCTCAAAACCGATAATGCTTGTTTACAGATGAAATAATTTATGCATGCAGAAGACACAGGGGAGATAGCATGGTATTTGGGCTACTGGTTTCAAGTAGTAATAGAAGAATAGATTGACAGAGAGAGGAGTCTTAAGATCTGTCCCAGCTCATCACTGCTTCCCTGTTCCCAGTCTTGGTGGGTGGAAAACCCAGGACATACCCACCCAGGGAGGGTCTCCTAAAAAAAAAGAAGTAACATAACCGACCTGAAGCCATTTGCCTGGGAAATGTCTTTGGGCTGCTGCTGAGAACCAGTGAGGGTATTGCAGAAGAGGAAGAAAATACTAATGAAACGGTGATGGTGCCCCAGGGTGTGTGGGGAGAAGGCAAAGCAGATTTGAAGCACTGTGGGGACTCCTCAGGCAGGCTGTCCCCATGAGCTGCTCCCCTACTCCCTGCACATATCTGCGGGCTAAAACCTGGGCTCAGCCTTCATGTGGCCAATGAAAATTGACATTTTCCATATCCCAAGGTTAGCCTAACAGTAATTAAAGCATCACATTGCACACAATTCTTTCCATTATAATTTAAGTGGATTTTATGCTATTTTAAAAACCATTCTAGTTCCCACTGTGAATAATGAATACAAATAAAGTTGAATGTCAGACCTGGAATACAAATCAAATAAGAAAACCTGTAAGTATCCCAAACATCTGCCCCCACAATCCCTAAGTCTCAGGTGCTTTGCTGCCAGCCCAACATTTCATAAATGGTTGCCCTGGTTTGCTTTTGATGTCAAGCTACCTCAACGGGCCACTTCTGTTCCATTAACAATGATAAGGCACCTCACACTCTGAGACATCCTTCCAGCTTCCACCGTCTTTCCAGAAATTCATTCATCTTTCTAAGCAGCTATATTAGACAGTGCCAAGAAGATTTCTAAAAAGGAGATAGACAGACACACCTACTCAGAAATCACAAGGTCTTTCAGATATGATAATTGGTTTTTTTTTTTTTTCCCATCACTGAAAGAATGGGGCTTTTGCTCAATTCATTTTCTACACTTTCAGTCAATGTGCTTAAAAATGTCCCTGCCTCTCTGGATCCCTAGGAGGGACAATTTTCAGCTATGCTCTCCTGCAATTGTGGATGTGATTTTGTTGTGTTCTGATTCTGAATAACACGACAGAAAGTTGACATCAGCATAGCTTGCTCCTCTCATTGTCGTTCCATGAAATAGGAAGAGAAACTGGAAACAGAGCTTTACACATGGTCTAGCTGGAAGGATAGTATAGAAAAGGTTGAAATCTTGTAACCCCATTTAAAAATGCATGAGAGGGGACAGATTTGGGTTTCTGCTGCCTGTTCACCATGGACACCCAAGAGGCAGAAACAGGGAAAGAAGCCTGTAGCCTTTCTGTGACTCATTGTAATGCAGAAAAGCCTGGTGACAGGGAGTTGTTTTTATTTTTATACTATTACTAGACTGAAAAGCATTAATATTGTCATACAGATGGTCACCTATGTTGGAAGCTTATGAAAGAACTCTAAATTGCGAAAAGATTATTCTAAATTCAGGAAAGCATCAACTCCCTAATGCTAAAGGTGGAGCCGTGCTGCTAAACATATTAGTATTTCTTAATTCAAACACCTGTTCTGCCCGTACGATACATAAAAAAGCTCTTATTTATTGCTTGCATCTCCATTTCAGATTTAATCTCACTATAAATTCATCTCATGTTAATTTATGTGCAAACAAAGACACACACATTTTAAATATCCGAAATGCTGGAAATAAACTTATTTTTAATTTTGTGCTTGTTTTCCATTTGTCAACCAGCAAATGAAAGGACTGAATAAATCATGCACTAATTGCCAGCGGTGCTAAATTTAGTGTGAGATCTGGAATCCTTTTGATCAAAACCGCTGAATATGAAATCATCCTCAGCTCTCTAGGCAACTTTATCCGCCTTTCTATTCTCCATCTGTCAGTCACCTGGGAATTTGTGAACTATTCCATATGTCAGGCTTGTCAATCACAATGGGATGTGGGAACTATCTGCCTACTGCATAGGAATTCTTGTTAAAAAATTAATCTGCATTTAACTAGTAGTTCTATATTTTGAATACCATATTGTTTGGTGTTTTGAATTTTTTTCTCTATGTAAGGTTAGTAGAAATAAACTTTATTTAAATAGTGTAGATTAAAAGTCTTCATTTAAATAACATTTACAAGCATGTAACTGTTACACATATATCTGTTATATATAGCCAGTAATATCGTGCATGCATATGCAACATTTTAAATAGAATCCCCTTATTATGGTAACACTGAATCTGACACAAACCTATCTTACCTACTGACACTCTAAATATATATGAAATAAAAGGTAATAAACGTGTGAACATCTCACCGTTTTGAGATTCGCAAACCTATCAAGTTATTTCTGAGAGAAAAATGATTCACCAAAGGTGCTTTAAGCTTAAATGCATGTAAAATATTCAAATATCTCATTTAAATAAATATGCAAATAAAATTGTATTCCTCACAACATCGTTGCCTTTCTATCATATTTTTATTCTAAACCAATTAGGAAAATTCAGAAATCGCATATAACATAGAATGTCTGAAATATCAACCTCATTGAATTTGAAATGTTTACATATTTCATATTTTAACTCCATTTACTTATGATAGAATTTGAGAAAACAAGCAGCAGAACTATTGAAATATTAGAAAAAGATCAAAACAACATACTGGAAACAAAGATAATAGTGCCAGAAATCCAAATTAGTATACAAATCTTACAGATCTGTGACCTTAGGCAAATTACTTAATTTTTTTGTACCTGAGGTCCCACGTCTGTGCTATGAGGACATAAATAGATACAAATCTAAAAGATTGTTGGAAAAATGAAATAATATATGTAAAGCCCTTAAGAAAATGCCTGGCAGATAGAAAATACTGAATAAATGTGATATACTGTATGTACTGTCAGGGTCAGTATTCATACTGTGAAGGTTAAAGGAGGGAATTGAATATAGGGAAATTGCTATAGAGATGCTGGAAGAGCTGAAAACATTGAGTCCATTTGCTACATTACAGCCACCTGGAAATCAATTATTTTCTCCCACATTCAATGCCCTTCAGAGTTCCCCATTTCTCTAAGGAAGGAAATCCTTAAAAGGGCCTACAAGACCCAGAGAGCAACAGCTCTCATTAATTATGCACACGCCTCCCTTAAAGTCTCTACCTTTTTCTTAGCCTCAGAAGCACCATGCTCCCTCCCACAGGGCCTGCACTCACACCGAGCCCTCTGTCTGGAGCCCTTTACCTCTGTCTCTTGACCCAAATATTCTTGAGTTCTCAACTCAATTATCACTTTCTGGGCTTCTTCCTTCCCAAGGGCCCTCAATGCTCCCATGCTTATACCCAGCACTGTATAATTAATCACTAAATGTTTAGGTTGCACATAAATCTGTCCTTCTGTCCTTTGATCACACACTTATTTGAGAGATTTTGATTAATCTTTGTCTGTCCCACTAGAGAGTAAATTTCATGAGGTCAAGGACTCAGTCAAATTGGCTTCTGAGTCCAATAATGACACGTAGTAGGTGGGCATTGTATTTTGACTGAATGAGTGGCCTGCCTTAATGAGTGAGTTATCAGAAGATGAATAGTAAAGAAATGAATACCTGTGCATTTAAGGGCAAATGTCCTAACTTAAATAACTAAGTGACTAAGCAATGCACTTAGTAATTTAATAGGAATAAAATGTGAAATACACATAATTGCTTTCACACAACTGTAGTAAACAGAATTATATCTGACTTGGAGTAAATATCCAGCACACTGTGGACCATGTCCTAAACTCCGCAGGTTGCATTAGCGTCATCTTTCATTATCTACCAGTCATTTTCTACATACATCTAAAGTTTTCTCCATTGTAATAAATCTCTGATTTCATGTGTGCCCTCCTAAAAAACTGTTAGTTCTCTGAGGAGGCGCATGGCCCGGGTCTTGATCTCCTTTTTTTCCTTAGAACCTAGCATAGAGCCTGATACATAGTAGCATGTCATTACATTTTGTTTAGTGAAGATATAGCTTGTGTTCAGAACAATATGCCTTTTCTTGGCTGCTTAGCTTAGATGCTTATAAACTGCTTTTGTTCCATTGATCCCCACGAGCCCCTTGGTTGTACTATCTTCCATTGTCACAGACTGTGCATTTTCCTGTCTATCCATCATGAGAATGCATTACACTAGCTAAAATAGGGACTAGAGAATACAATGTGGTCAATTTAAGGCAAATTCACCATTACTGTAGGAAAATAAATAAAAGAAGGAAGCAGCGAAAAAAAAGAAGAAACGAGGAGGAAGGAAAGGAAGAAGGAAGAGAGGAAATAACAAAAGGAATAAACAAACCCATATATTTTTCAGTAAAAATTCTTTATTCCTAAATACAATTTGAAATGCCTTGAAATATCACTTTCAAAAACAAAATTATTTCATCTAATGAAAAATAGCAACACCAGAGAACCAAAAATATTATCCAGAGGTATCTGAAGATAGCTTTTAAAAGTTTATGTTACACAACTCAGCAAATTTGCTTAGTTTTCTATTTATGCAAAAATAAAATAAGAAACAGGAAGAAAGTAACAAAGAGTAAATTGATGAAAAAGATAAATTTAAAAATTATTTTGGCTGTGTGTGTCTGTGTGTGTGTGTGCATTTCTGGGATATGGCTACTATTTTCTCTAACCATGAACACCGAATAGAAGTGATATAATAAAAAGTTACAAATATTAAACGTATGGTTTAATTAAGAATTTACAATTTTATGCTAGAAATACAAAAGCAATTCAAGTTACAGAAAGTTAAAAGATAAATCAACATTAATAGATACATAAACACTATTTGATAAATTTAATTTGCCTCCAAGTTGAATGTTCTTAACATGGTGAAAATAGAACTAAACATCCTGAATAAAATTGCGATTAAAAATTTGCATCAGAATCATATGTAAAGTGAAATTTTAAAATATTCTTCAAATAAAAAAGGTGAAAGACAAGGCATTATTGTCACTAGTGCTATTCAACATTGTAGTGAGTATCCTGGCCAAAGCAGTATGATAAGAGAAAAAGAAAAACTTTGATATGAAAATTAAAATAAAAAAGACACACTGTTATTATTTTGGACCATATGACAAACTACCTAGAAATCCTCAAAGGAACCACTAAAAACCTACTAGAATAAGAGATATCAGTGAAGAGTCCCAATAGAATTCAAAATTTAAAAGTCAATTTCTTAACTAAGTAGAAAATTTGGGTAGGAAGGATCTGAATAACTAGAGCAAAACAAGCTACAAAATACTTGTTAATAAACTTGATAAGAAATGCTCAAAGGAGGTATAATGAAATCCATGCATTACTTTGAAGGGCATCATTTAAATATATTAATTTGGAGACATGCTTCTTACAAAATAGAAAAATTGTAAAAATTTTGATTCTCCAGATATTCTATAAATATAGCCAATCCCAAATGGAAATTCTAACAGAAATATTTTAATGTAACGGAACAAATTCCAACTTTCATTTGGAAAAAAAAAAAACATGACAGTTGTTTTAAAAAAGAGGGAAAAATAAAAACTTTGGACATGTTCCAAAAGATTAAAAATATACTCTAAAGCTAGAGCAATTAAATGAATAAGATATTAGCACAAGAATAAATAGAAAGGTCAATAGAAATTGTTGATAGCACTAAAATTGATCGAATTATGACAAAGGGTCACTTAAATTAGTGGGGAAAGGAAGAACTGTAATAAATGTTGTTGGGAATATCAGCTATCTTTTGGATTAAAATAATTTAGACCAAGCCACATAAAATTAGTTTGTAAAAATGTAAAAAAGCATTAGAAAAACATTGATCTGCGAAATGGAGATCATTCTATACCTCAGGGTTTTAGGAGGGTTAAGTGGTTTGAGCCTTGTAGTGCCTCCAAAATATAGTAAGATTTCGCTATTTTTTTTTAATTTAAAAATTTTAACTTTTATTTTAGGCTCAGGGTACATTTGCAGATTTGTTATGTAGGTAAATTGCATGTTATGGGGTCTGGTATACAGATTATTTTGTCACTCAGGTAATAAGCATAGCACTCAATAGGTAGTTTTTTGATCCTCCCTCTTCTCCCTTCCTCCACACTCGAGTAGGTCCTGGTGTCTGTTGCTCTCTTCTTTGTGTTCATAAGTACTCAATGTTTAGCTCCCACTTGTGCATGAGAACATGTGATATTTGGTTTTCTGTTCCTGTTTTAGTTTGCTTAGGATAAGGGCCTCCAGCTCCATCCATGTTGCCACAATGGATAGAATCTCATTCTTTTTTTTATGGCTGAGTAGTATTCTATGGTGTATATGTGCCACATTTTCTTTATCCTGTCTACTGTTGATGGGCATTTAGGTTGATTCCATGTCTTTGCTATTGTAAATAGTGCTGCAATGAAAATACACATGCATGTGTCTTTATTGTAAAATGATTTATATTCTTTTCACTGCTTTTTGTTTTTTAATAGAATCTAGGTTTTGTGTCTTGCTTAAGAATACCTACTCTCATACTAACAGGAAAATTTTCTCTGATATGTTATCTTAACGTTTCCTCAACTTAGATAAGGATATTGAGATTTGGAGACACATAATCTGACTCTAGAGCTTTTTCCTTAGCCATTCATCTACACTACCTCCCTAGGTGGACCACATAAATAGCAAAGCAAAAACAACTTCCATATAGGAAATGATATAATAATCCAAGGTTATTGGATTGGGAATAAGCCCATAAATCTTGGAAACAGTATTGGAAACAGTACTTGCAAGGTATAAAAAGTTAAATAATAAAAACAATTATGACATGCATAGGGAAACTTCAAATCTAAAAGAAAAAATATTGAAAAATAGGCAAGAAATATAAGCATACAATTTAGAGAGTTAATATAAATACAATTTTAAGAGTGTTTGTAGCTAGGGGATACAAATTTAAATAATGATGAGATCCTGTGTTTTTTCACCCAACAGCTAACAAATTAGATTGATATTATCAAATACTGTTGGTCGTGTGAGACAATGGATACCTTCATATACACTTTTTGGGAATTTAACATGGTGAAGAGTTTTTAAAACTGCAAACAGATTCTACTAGCAAAACTGTAAGTGCAAGTATTCTTCCACTAACCAAAACTGAGTGAGTACCTATGTCAGATCAATAGCATATATATACATATGTAATAATACACAGCATTTATTTATTTTTGATACAGGGTCTCACTCTGTCACCCAGTCTGAAGTATATGATCGTGGCTCACTGCAACCTCCACCTCCTGGTCTCAAGAAATCCTCCTGCCTCAGCCTCCTGAGTAGCTGGAACTACAGGCGTGTGCCACCACACCTGGCTATTTTTCATATTTTCAGTACAGATGAGGTTTCACCATGTTGCCCAGGACAGTCTCAAACTCTTGAGCTAAAGCAATCCACCTGACTTGGCCTCCCGAAGTGCTGAGATTACAGGTGTGAGCCACCACTTCTAGCCCACAGTATTTATTTTTAATGCTTTCTTTCAAAAGGGAAAAAGTTGGAAATACACATACAATGATAAAAAATTATATATTACTCATGGTATATATACCAAAGCACAAAGTTTTCAAGGCACATGTGGAAATCAATGTACATTCAGCATGGTCTAGCCTGTGTCCGATTGGCTCTCAGTTTAAGAGGATAAAGAAATTGAGAGGAAATGTTTTAAGAACAAATGACAATATAATATTCCATATACATACAAAGTTTCAAGATACATCAAACAAAAACAATTCTAAAGTGAGAACAAGACAAATCAAATCCATAGTTATAGATGGAGATTTTAATACCCTCATAGTAATAAAGGTATATAATATTTATATGTTATTGCCAATCACTTAATTTAACCGTTAAGGAACAATATACCTAATATTGCACATGACACACTATATTCAAGTGTACTCGGATCCATTAAATCAGGGTAGATCATATGCTGGGCCATATAATGTGTACCAATAAATTCCAAGAACTGATATTATACACACATATTATCTGGCTACAATGTAATTAAAATATAAAGAAATAAAAAGATATCTGGAGAATGCTAAAATACTTAAAATTAAGCACTTCTAAATACCTCGTAAGAGAAAGAAATCAGAAGAGAAAATAGCAAATATTTTAACAGAGAAGCCACAAAAACATAATATATTAAAATTTGAGGGCTGCAGCTAAAGCAGTAATTGAAAGAAAATTTATGCTTATATTAAAAAATTAAGAATATCAGATTCCACTTTGAGAAGTTAGAAAAGGAAAAGAAAATTAAAACCAAAGTTAATAGAAAGAAAATAGTAAAGACATGAGCAGAAATCACTGAAGTAGAAAATTGACAAGCAGTAGAGAAAAACCACCAAAATACAAATTTGGTTTTTTGAAACAACTAATAAAATTGAAAGATTTCCAGTTAGACTAGATAGATTAATTAGAGAGAGAGTGCGTGCAAAATCACAATAAATATCATCAATTAACATTACTATAGACTCTACGGCCATAAAAACAGATAACGGAATGTTATAAACAAATACATTTGACAGTTTGAAGAAATTAACAAATTTTTAAAAATTTTTCGACTTTTAAGTTCAGGGGTACATGTGCGGGATGTGCAGGTTTGTTAGACAGGTAGACAGGTGCCATAGTGGTTGGCTGCACAGACCGTCTTATCACCCAGGTATGAAGCCCATCACACATTAGCTATTCTTCCTGATCCTCTCCCTTCTCCCACCCCCTGTCCTCCAACAGGCCCCAGAGAGTGTTGTTCCCCACCAGTGTTCATGTGTTTTCATCATTTAACTCCCACTTATAAGTGAGAACATGCGGTATTTGAATTTCTTGAAACATACAAATTTCCAAATCTGTCACAAGGAATAGGAAAAATTCCTAACACATCAGTCAATCTCAATCAGATATGTTAGCTTTCTCTGGGATCCACTGACAATGTCTAGAGGCCTTTTTGTGTCGCAACTCAGGGGGAAAGGGTGCTATTGGCATCTGGTGAGTAGAGGCCAAGGATGTTCCTAAACACCATTCAATCCTGTAATAAATAGGACAGCTCTACACAAAAAAGAATTATTCAGCCCCAAGCATCAATTGTACCAAGATGGAGAAACCTGTTAATACAACTTTTCTTGTTATATAATTCTAATTACTCATCAAAAACCTTTGACAAAGAATATTGCAGACACAGTTGGCCTCAATGTTGGAGTACATTGAATATTTGAGGAAAAATTAATACCAGTGTTACACAAACGTTAAAAAATAGTCAAGGAGAGAATACTCACAACTCATTTTATGAGGCAAAATTCCCAGATACTAAAGTCAGACATAGAAAATACAAGAAAAGAAAACTACAAACCAATATTCTTATGAATATTGATGTAAAAATCCTCAACAAAACATTAGTAAATAGAATTAAGAAACATTAAGAGAATTTCACACCATGATCAATTATCAAGGATATTTTGAGATATGAAAATCAATTGATGTAATACACCACATTAATAGAATAAAGAGGGAAAAACCTCACATGATTATCTCAAAGTAGAAAAAGCATCTGACAAAATTTAACATCCTTTTATCATAAAACATCCAACAAACCAGGGATAGAATAAAATTCTCCATCAGGATAAAGACCACATATGTAAGTCTCATGACCAGTATTATACTCCATAGTGACAAACTGAAAGTATTTCCACTAAGATTAAGACAAGACAAGAATCCCCACTTTAACACTTTTATTCGGCATAGTATTGAAAGATCTATTCAGAGAGATTAGGCAAAAAAAAAAAAAAAAGGCACCCAGATTGGAAAAGAAGTAAAATTATCTCTGTTCTCAGATGGTATGATCTTATATATAGAAAACCCTAAATATTACACACACACAGACACACACACGCACACACACACGTTGATGCTACTAAGTGAATTCAGCAGGATTAATTGCAGGAAGCAAAAAATCAACTCATAAAAGTTAGTTGCTTTTCTATGCACTAACAATGAACAACCTTAATAGAAAATTTAAAAATCTATTCAATTTACAATAGCATCAAAAATAATAATATGAAATAAATTTAATCAAGGAGGTAAATACTTGCACAATGGAAACTACAAAACATTGTTAATAGTTATTAAGAGAACATAAAGAAATGGAAAGTCACTCCATATTCATGGAGAGGAAGACAATATTTTTTGGTGACAGTGTTAATTGAAGAGATTTACAGATTCAATGCAATCTCTTTAAAAATCAAAATTCTGTTTTCTTTGGAAAGAGAGAAACCCATCCTAAATACAGATGAAAACTTTGGGGACTCCAAATAGCCAACACAGTCTTGAAAAGTAAAGAAGTTGGAGGATTCACAAGGTACCAATTTCAAAACTTATTATAAAGCTTCAGGAATCAATACTTTGTGATACTGGTACAAGGACAGACACACAGACCAATAGAATAGAATAGAATAGAATAGAATAGAATAGAGTAGAGTAGAGTAGAGTAGAGTAGAGTAGAGTAGAGTAGAGTAGAGTAGAATAGAATAGAATAGAATAGAATAGAATAGAATAGAATAGAATAGAATAGAATCAATCTTTACGTACAAATTCAATTGCTACTTGACGAGAGTGCCAAGACCATTCAATGAGGGAAAGGGCAGTCTCTTCAGCAGGTGGTGCTGGGAAAACTGGATAACTACATTCAAAAGAATGCAGTTGGACCTGTACCTTACATCATGTACAAAGATTAACTCACAATGGATCCAAAACCTAAACATAAAACTTAAAACTCAGCAACTTTTAGAAAGAAATATAGGAAAGAAACTATGACATTGAATCTGGCTATGATTTTTAGATATGACACCAAAAACATAGGCAAAAAAAAGATCAACAAGAGATCAAATAGATAAATTGGATTTAATTGAGTTTAAAATATTTGAGTATTCAAGGACATTGTCAAGTGAGTAAAAATACAACCCACAGAATGGGAGCAAATATTTGCTGATCATACATATGATAAGGGATTGATATCCAGAATATATAAAGAACTCTTAAAACTTGTCAGTAAGAGACAACTCAATTAAAGCATAGGCTTAAATTAGACTTATCTTCAAAGCCAAAGTACCTGGAATTTGCAAAATCATTGAGATAGAAAGTAATTGCATAGAGATTTACCAAGGGCGTGGAAGAGCCGTAAAGGGGAGTTATTTAATGGCTATAGAGTTTCTGTTTGAGATGATAAAAAAGTTCTGGAAATACTGGTGATGGTTGCCATGCATCATGAATGTATTTAGTGCCCCTGAACTGTACATCTCTATGGTTAAAATGGCACATTTTATATAATGTATGTTTTGCAACAATAAAAAAGTGAAAAAGAAATTAAATGCATTCCTAGAGAGACAAAAGTTGAGAAAATCTATTGCTAGCTAACCTGCTCTATATAAAATACTAAAGGAAGTTCTGGGGGCTTAAAGAAAATGATGTCAGACGTTAACTCAAACATACAAGAAATAAATAAATATGATCAGAAGTGGCAATATGTGGATGAATATAAAATTGCACATATGTGTGTGTGTGTATACAGGCACACCTGGGAGATATTGCAGGTTTAGTTCCAGACCACCAGAGCAAAGTAAACTTTTTTAGTTTTTCAGTTCATATAAAAGTTATGTTTGCACTAAACTATAGTCTACAAAGTGTGCAACAGTATTATGTCTTAAAAACAATGTGTATACCTTAATAATTAAAAATATTTTATTGCTAAAAACTGGTGCCACAGAGACACAAAGTGAATAGATGCTGTTGAAACAGGTGACGCTGATAGGCTTGCTGGATGCAGGGGTTGCCACAAATCTCCGGTATGTAAGAAATGTAATATCCGTGAGTTGCAATAAAGCCAGACATGATCAAACAAGGTATGTCTGTAGTTGTTTTGGGGAGCCACCAACTGTACCCACATATGACTAAGAAAATACATTTTAGAAATGGTTTAAAAAGTAATTTAAAATTGCGTTGAAATCTCTCTCTTAACACAAAACAAGGCAGTAAAAGATAAACAGAACAAAAAAGTCAATGAGACAAATAGAAAACAGCAAAAATATCCCAGAAGTAAATCCAATCATATCAATACTTAACATTAAATTTAAGTGAAATAAATGCTTTGATCAAAAGACAGACTTAAAACTGGACACAAACTGAAGTACATGCATACGCTATATACAAGACATACTTTAGTTTTAAAGAAATGTGACATTTTATAGGAAAACTTGCCTCAGAAAACCATGGATTCTGAGTTTATTTGCCGTAGTTTTTCTTTAGCTATGGATATCTTGCCATGGTTTTTCTCAGTATAAGATATTTTTGTACTAGCAAATGTAATTATTCCAACTGGCAATATCAGAGCAGTTCACTTGCCCTCTGCCCTCACTCCCTCACCCCTAGGAAAGTTCTTCAGTAAAAGGAATGAATAGATCAGAACCTAACTGCTTTAACTCCTTCCTCACTTCGTGAAAAGCTTTTCTTTGGTATACAGTTAAAAGTGTAACTGCTTGTAGAATGGTTAAATTTGAAATTATTATTATTTTCAATTATGTACTTTCTTAGTATTTTTTTTTTTTTTCTGAGACCAAAGCTGCGTCTACCCAGGCTAGAGTGTAGCTGAGACTACAGGTGCACACCACCACGCCTGGGTAATTTTTGTATTTTTTTTATAGAGACGGGGTTTCCCATGTTACCCAGGCTGGTCTTGAATTCGTGAGCTCAAGCAATTGGCCCACCTCGGCTCCCAAAGTCCTTAGATTACAGGCGAGAACCACCGTTCCTGGCCTCTTATTATTTTTAAACTTTGTTTATTGCCTCCTCTGTTTCAGAAATTTAATCTTTGCACCTTGTCTTCCATTTTGTCCATCTTCCTTTGAATGATCTTTATCTGTATTTTTTTTTCCTGCATGCTGCCTAGCTACTTGCATACAAATCGTTTCCATAATCTGATTTTATGATTTCTTAAATTGTTATTTACTACTTATAACAATAATTCAAATTATGCTACTAAGAAAGAAGGTTTTTTTTGTTTTTGTTGTAAAGTTGCCTCATGTGTCTTTTACAAAATTTTCTTTACAAATAGCAGAAGTCATTTTCATAAAACGTCAGGTGTTTTTTCAGAACGAGATTGACTTCCATGATATTTGTATTTGCTTCACCTCTTATTTAGTTTTTTCCATGCCTTTTAAATTGAACTATTGAGTAGTTTTAGATTCACTGAAAGGTGGCAAAAATAGTACAGAGAGTTCTCATATAACCCACACCAACTGTCCCCTATAATTAACATATTAGCATGGCACATTTTTCATAATTAATAAGCAAATATTGATATATTTTCCATTTAAGTTCATACTTTATTCAGATCTCTTTAGTTGTTTAAGTACTGTCATTTTTCTCTTCCAGGGTATCATGGGAATATCACACCACCTTCGGTTGTCACGTCTCCTTAGTTCATCTCCTTAGTTCATATCAACTGATATCAGTTTCTTAGACTTTTCTTGTTTTTGCACAATAGCTTATTTTATTAATTGTGGTAAAATATACATAATCTATAATTTACCATGTAAACATTTTCAGTGTACAATTTATTGAAATTAAGTATGTTCATGATGTGCACCCATCACAACTATTCATTTTTTTTTTATTATACTTTAAGTTCTAGGGTACATGTGCACAACGTGCAGGTTAGTTACATATGTATACATGTGTCATGTTGGTGTGCTGCACCCATTAATTCGTCATTTAACATTAGGTATATCTCCTGATGCTATCCCTCCCCACTCCCCCGACCCCACAACAGGCCCCGGTGTGTGATGTTCCCCTTCCTGTGTCCATGTGTTCTCATTGTTCAATTCCCACCTATGAGTGAGAACATGCGGTGTTTGGTTTTTTGTCCTTGCTATAGTTTGCTGAGAATGATGGTTTCCAGCTTCATCCATGTCCCTACAAAGGACATTAACTCATCATTTTTTATGGCTGCTTAGTATTGCATGGCATATATGTGCCACATTTTCTTAATCCAGTCTATCGTTGTTGGACATTTGGGTTGGTTCCAAGTCTTTGCTATTGTGAATAGTGTCGCAATAAACATACGTGTGCATGTGTCTTTATAGCAGCATGATTTATAATCCCTACACTGTTGGTGGGACTGTAAACTAGTTCAACCATTGTGGAAGTCAGTGTGGCGATTCCTCAGGGATCTAGAACTGGAAATACCATTTGACCCACTACTATTCATTTTTAGAACTTCTCCATCCTTCCAGACTGAAACTTTGTACCTATTGTAAACTAAAAATAAGTCCTGAGGCCCCACCAACTGAACAGACCCCAGCTTGCCCAAGGGGACCCCCAACATCCTTAAAACTGAGTTCCCAGCCACAGTGGGATGGGCGGTCAGATGCACCTCTTTATGGTTATGCCTAAACCATAGGCATAACCTCCTCCTTTTTTATGGTGTAGGCATAACCAGCCTTAGTGTTAAAATAGAGTTCATGAGACTGACTGAACAGACTCTTCCTGGCAATAAGACACTGAATTATAAACAGGACCTCAGGCCATGCCAGGCAAGGGTGAAGTCACAACTACACTTAAAAAATAAACTATGTCCCTAACTGCCACGAGGTTTTTCTTTATCTCTAGCACCTAAATAACTACTGTCCTTGAGAGAAGCAAGATTAAAACAATTACAACTCACCCAGTTCGCAGACATTTGACTAACTGACTCAGTTCACAGACATTTGATTAACTGACTCCCTTTTCCACCAGCCTTAACTACAGCTTTCATTGGATAAGCGACTGATTTCATCAACTTTCTCCTGGTAAAAGACCACTGACCATGGAGTGGTTCTGGGCTGGTTTACAGAGGCATTCACAGGCCTTTGTGTCCTGAAAGGACCTTTTGATGTAGAGAGCTTAACTGTAACACATCATATTTTAGGCCTCCACCCCAAAGTGAACATGCATGGTATGTTACACACGTTTGTTCAAAATGTGTGTCAGGACCCCCTTCATGAATATTCATAGCTTGCTCTCCCTGTAACCTATTGAATATATATGTTTAGCCACTGTGTCCAGCATAAAGCTCCTACCCCAAACTCTGCTCCTTCTAAGTGCCTGTCTCTGATCTTGGCTGGAAGCACATTTCTCAGCTTGTGGGGTGGCCACCTTGCCCCCTGTAACCCTTTACAAGAAATAAGTCTCCTCTCCTTTTCTAAAATTATAAATTCTGAGTTTTTAAAAGTTGACACTATTAAACACTAACTCCCCATTCCCACCTCCCCCCTAGGCCTTGATAACCATCATTTTACTGTTAGTATCTATGAATTTGTCTACTCATTCTAGATACCTCCATAAGTGTAAACCTACAATACTTGCTCTTCTAACCCAGCTTATTTGACTTAGCATAATGCTTTCAAGATTCATGTACTAGAATTTTCATTTTTTAAAAAGAATCAATAATATTTCATTATATGTATACACCACAGTTTGTTTATCCTTTTATTGACTGATGGACATTTGGATTGTTTTCACCTATGGCTGTTGTGAATAATGCTGCTATAAACATTGGTTTGCAAATATCTATTCAAGTCTTTGCTCAATTATTTTGGGTATGGACCTGGATTATATGGCTGTTCTATGTTTAACTTTTGATAAATTGCTCTACTGTCTTCCATAGTGTCTGAACTATTTTATATTCCTATCATCAATGCACAAGTTTACTGATTTATCCACATTTTGGCTAACATTTATTATTTTGTATTTTTTTTTTTGGATATGCCTATGGGTATAAAGTGGTCTCATTATGATATTAATTTGCATTTAATTAGCAATTCCTGATGTTGAATATCTTTTCATGTGCTTATTGTCCGTTTGTACATCTTTATTGGAGAAATGTCTATTTGAGTCTTTGACTATTTTTGAATTGGGTTATTTGTTCCATTGTTGTAGAGTTTTAGGAGTTCTTCATATATTCTGGATATTAATCCTTTATCAGTTATGTGACTTGCAAATATCTTCTCCCAATATATGGGTTGCTTTTTTATTCTCTTAATAGTTTCTTTTGATACACAAGTTTTTAATTTTCATTAAGTCCATTTTATCTATTTGATTTTTTGTTGCCTCTACTTTTGGTATCACATTCAAAAAATTACTGACAAATTTAATGTTTTTAATATTTTTATCTATGTTTCATTCTTAGAGTTCTATAGTTTTATCTATTTATTTATATTTATTTATTTTTTCAAGACAGAGTCTCACTCTGTCACCCAGGCTGGAGTGCAGTGGTGCAATCTCGGCTCACTGCAACCACTGCCTCCCAGGTTCAGGCGATTTTCGTGCCTCAGCCTCCCGAGTAGCTAGGATTACAGGTGTGCACCACCATGCCTGGCTAATTTTTGTATTTTTAGTAGAGACGGGGTTCCACCATGTTGGCCAGGCTGGTCTCGAGTAAGAATTCTATAGTTTTAGATCTTACATTTAGGTCTTTCATCTATTTTGAGTTAATTTTTGTACATGGTGCAAGGGAGGGGTACAACTTCATTTCTTTGCATGTGGCTATTCAGTTTCCAAACATTATTTGTTGAAGACTGTCCTTTCCCCTACTTAATACTCTTGGCATCCTTGTTGAAAATCTTTTGAGCATATATGTGAAGGTTTATTTCTAAGTTCTTTATTCTATACTATTGATCTATATATCTTCCCTTGTGGCAGCTACCACACTTTTTAAAAAATTACTCTACCTGCCCCCATCTATTTACTTTGTATTGTATACTTTGGGGAGTTTAGTGTTTTTATTTTTTTAAATAAAAATAAATAAGGTAGTGCATCAGAAGATAATCTATTTGAGATGCACATTTATGTATTTATCTATCTTTACCATTTTCACCATTTTTAAAATTGACACATAATAATTATAAATATTTATGGACTCCATAGTGATGTTTTGATGTATATCATGTATAGTGATCAAATTAGGGTAATTAACATTTGTTAAAGGACACAAATTTACAGCTTGATAGGAGGAATACATTCTAGTATTCTATAGCAGTGTAGAATGAATATAGTTGACGATAATAATATATTATATAGTTTAAAATAGGCTGAAGGAGGATATTGAATGTTCCCAACGCAAAGAAATGATGCACGTTTGAGGTATACATTTAATTGAAGAAAAAAAATATATATGTATATATTTTGTTTTTGTTTTTGTTTTTTTTTTGAGACGGAGTCTCGCTCTTTGGCCCAGGCTGGAGTGCAGTGGCTCGATCTCGGCTCACTGCAAGCTCCATCTCCCGGGTTCACGCCATTCTCTCGCCTCAGCCTCCCGAGTAGCTGGGACTACAGGCGCCCGCCACCGCGCCCAGCTAATTTTTTTGTATTTTTAGTAGAAACGGGGTTTCACCGTGTTAGCCAGGATGGTCTGGATCTCCTGACCTCGTGATCCACCCTCCTCGGCCTCCCAAAGTGCTGGGATTACAGGCGTGAGCCACCGCACCTGGCCGAAGAAAATAATTTTTAAATTCGCTGCCATGAGTCACGTATTCTGCCTGTGGTTTGTTCTACAATCAAGATAAAGTTAGGGCTGTAAGATAGCCAGGTTTGTCTCATATTTATGGCCAAAACACGTTTTTAATGTGATTCACACCTGTGGTAATTCTATCCCAAATAGTCTATTTCAGGATGGAGTTACCCAGGTGAAACCACCCTATCAACATCACATGACCGACCAAATCCTAATAATGTCAATGGATATGGAGCAGACCATTCTCCAGATCCGTCTATGACCAAGGTTCAGTTTTTGGTAAGTGAAAAATTTTAGATCTGCTCTTGGTCATGTATTGGAGCAAATCCCATTAGTGCAAAATACCCCATGATTTTAGGAACATGCTCAGTTGTTGCCATTAGTTTTGCATCCTGTCAGGGATTTTCACCTTCCCAGAAGCCTTCTTGTACAGTTAATAGGACATTGAAGGATGGAACTCTCAGAAACTTTTATTTTACTACCCTCCTAGTTGTCTTATCATGGGTTCTTATTGAAACCATAATTCATTACTATTCTGGAGTTCCATGTCATGGCAGTGGAGTCTACAATGCACACAAAAAAGTCACACAAATTTTTGTTTCCAGTCTCTTGTATTTTGTTATTTTAGTTGCAAATGGGAACATTTTGGGAAGAGACATCATTTAAAGACAACATACCTCTCTGGTATTCATTTGGTAATTATTAATTGATTGTAATATTATTTATTTATTATAAATTGACTATTATTGTCTAAAATTTATGGGGTATGAAAATACAATGTGGAGTAATTAAATCAAGCTAGTTACTGTATCTGTCACCTCAAATATTTAAAAATTTTCTAGCGAGGACATTTGAAATTACTTTTGAAATGCACAGTACTCTATTTTATTTATTTATTTATTTATTTATTTATTTATTTATTTATTTTTGAGGCAGAGTCTTGCTCTGTCACCCAGGCTGAAGTGCAGTGGTGCGATCTCGGCTCGCTGCAACCTCTGCCTCCCAGGTTCTAGCTATTCTCCTGCCTCAGCCTCCGGAATAGCTGTACAGGCGCATGCCACCACACCTGGCTAATTTTTGTATTTTTAGCAGAGAAGGGGTTTCACCATATTGGTCAGGCTGGTCTCGAAGTCCTGACCTCAGGTGATCCGCCTGCCTTGGCCTCCCAAACTGCTGGGATTATAGGCGTGAGCCACTGCGCCCAGCCTCTATTTTTAACTATATTCACCACATTATGCAGTGGAACTCAAAAAGGAGGAAAAGATATTCTTCCTGTCTAATTGGGATTCTGTACCTTGTGGCCAACATTTCCTCATTTTCCCTGCCCCTCAGCCTCTGTGACCGCCACTCCAAAGTCTGCTTCTATGAGTTCAATTATTTTAGATTCCATACGTAAGTGAGAACATATAGTATTTGTCTTACTGTACCTGACTTGTTTTACTTAGCATAATGTTCTCCAGTTCCATTCATGTTGTCCCAAATGACAAAATTGTCTTTTTTTTTTTTTAAGGCTGAATAGTATTTCATTTATCCATTCTTTATCCATTGATTGACTGACAGACATTTATGTTGATTCCATAATTTGGCTATTGTGAATAGTGCAGCAGTGAACATGGGAGTGCAGATATCTCTTTGTCAAACTGATTCAAAATCTTTTGGGCAAATACCCAGACGTGGGATTGCTGGATCATATGGTAATTCTATTTTTAGTTTTTTGTGGAACCTCCATATTACTTCCCATAATGATTGTGCTAATTTACATTTTCCACCAACAGTGTGCAAGTGTTCCTTTTTCTGCACAGCTTTGTCAACCATGTGTTATCATTCAGCTCTTCGATGAAACCATTAAGACAGGTGTGAGATGATATCTCTTTGTGGTTTTAATTTGCATTTTTTGAATGATTAGCCGTGTTGAACATTTTTCCATGCATCTGCTGGCCATTTGCATGTCTTTTTTTGATAACTATCTAGTCAGACTTCTTGCCCATTTTTTAATTTTTTGTTTTGTTTTGTTTTCTGCTATTGAGTTCTTGGAGCTCCTTATGTACTTTGGTTATAACTCTTTATCAGATATGCGTTTGCTAATATTTTCTCCCAACCCTTAGGTTGTTTTTGCAAACTGTTAATTGTTTTCTTTGATGTGCAGAAGCTTTCTAGTCTGATGTAATCTTGTTTGTCTGCTTTTGGACTTGCTGCCTGTGCTTTTGGAGTCAAATCCAAAAAAATCATTGCCCAGACCAATGTCATATAGTTTTTCCCCCTCTGTTTTCTTCTAGTAGTTTAAGAGTTTCTGATTTTATGTTTAAATCCTTAATCCATTTTGGGTAGTTTTTGTGTATAGTGTGAGAGGTAGGTCCAATTTTATTCTTCTGCATGTGGAAATGCAGTTTTCCCAACACCATTTATTGAAGAGACTGTATTTTTCCCATTGTGTATTCTTGGCAGCTTTATAGAAAATCATTTGTCTGTAGGTATGGGTTAATTTCTGGGTTTTCTATTCCATTGGTTTACATATCTTTTTTGCCAACACCATGCGTTTTAATTACTATAGCTTTGTAGTATAGCTTGTAATTAGATAATGTAATACCTCCAGCTATGTTCTTTAAGTAAGCCACTTTCAGAAGGCAGTTCACTATAATAAAAAGTAGGGTTAGTACCTCTTCTGTGTGATCATAACACTCAGTAAATAAATCAATGATTGCACTAGCCACATTGAAATGTAGGCCCTGAGTTTCTTGATAGCTTTATTTTGGTCTTACTCATATTTGTAAACTAACAGCACTTAATATGCAGCAGGTGAAAAATGAATGTACATTAAACTCACTATTGATCAAATACTAATTTAACTTTTTCTGTATAACATGTATGCAGACAGACAGACACTGAAAACAGAATAAGAAAAATACATGTATGTGTGTGTATATATATATGTGTATATATATGTGTATATATACATATATATGTGTGTATATACATATATACTCATGTGTATATATACACATGTGTATATATGTATGTGTATATATATACACACACACACACATACATGTATCTGTAGTTATTGAGCTTATATTTTAAATGGAATATATTTGTTTTAAAATAATCACCAAATAAGGAGTATATTGTAAGTTGTGCTGTAAAGAAAAAAGTACATGTTTTAAGTGTAGATGATAGAACCTTTATTTTGTCTCTATAAAGAATGAATAAATATGGTGAAACATTTGTAATGTAATTATAAAGATCTATATCAATAATTGGAAATACCTATTTAAAAAACAAAATATGAATAGGCCAAGATTAGTTCAATTGCCGAAAATGAGAATGCAGTAATTGACAAGGAAGGCTCATAAGTGCAATTAATTGGCAAAAGGTGTAAAATTAATGAAAGTCATTTAAGGAAGTTGGAAGACCTTCTTAAGGGTCCTTTTTTTCTAAATTGGTCACCCTCTGCACAGTGTGATTATCCCCGTTGTTCTTTGCTTGATTGGGCACAGACCTCAGAGCAGCCTGTGATGATGCACGCTCTCCTAGGATGTTCTCAATAATGAACACGCATTGATGTAGTGAGTTCTTGTAGTAGCTTTGCTTTTCCTGGCAGAAAGAAATGTGCTTCATTAGAGTAAGTGCAGATTTTTCTCCAAACACTATAAATGGCCCTACAGACCTTCTTCTCAGATAGATTGTGATCAGCTCTGAGGCCTTTTTCATCTTTTCATCTCTGCCTCTCTAGTATCTATCAAGTACTCAATACTAATTGGTAATCAGCAAATAGTAGTAGAATAAATGAACATTTATATTCCTAAAATTTGTTAAATAAATAAATTGATATATTAACTATAGAATGTTTTTAGTTAATAGTTTGTATTTAAATTTATGTTTATTTTTGACATTGCCACATATAACTACATAGCAAGTAATTATAGAATATCCGTTTGTATGCAAAAGTTTATGGGTGAAAGCATAAATATGCCTGTAATATGTGCAAACATTTTTACCATATGTGTATACACATATGAACACACACATACAAACATGTATGGTGCCATTTTAATATAAGGAACCACTGCCACAAGGCACATGGCATTTCAGTACACATATAGAAGATGTATAATCTCTTGCTGATAAATACTTAGGCCAATAATTTCCTGGAAACCTCATGTACAGGTTTTTGAAGACTCTTGAAATTCGCTGGGTTTCCCCTGCCAAAATTATGATAAATTGTCAGGGTGGAAAGTTTACACACTTAAAATGATTAATTTAATTTAAGCTTCTTGTCCTCTTGTGGACAACTAATTATACAAATAACAATATTGTTTTCAGATTTTTTCTGAGGTCATTATAAATAAATTTAAAAATATATATATTTCTGATGTCATTATAAATACATTTTAAAAATATATTTATATTTGTAGTTGATATATTTATATTAACTGTTTTTTGTATTATGAAAATCCAAATGTGTATCCCTAAGATATATATAACATTTCCAATATACATGCACATGTAACATTCACACACACACACACACACACACACACACACACGAGCACTATAAAAACCCAAATATCCTTTTATTTTGTCATACCCATCTCCTGGTAATTCTGAGCTGCTGCTAGAAACCCGTGCCACTTTATTAATTGTGTCCTAGTATTGATGGCATGGAAAAAATACACTGAGAAAAAATACTAACTTCCCTCATTGCTACAGTATTTTTACCCTTCTTTCTACATATTCTGTATCTTTTTTTCCTATTTTCACAACTTCTATTTTCAAATCCTAAGACTCATTTTTATAAATTAAAATGTACAAAATGTGAAGATGATAATGAGATTTCATGGCAAAACTAAGTAAACACTGCAACATTTTTATACAAATGAATATTTATCCACATACAGGATATAGCCTATGATTATTTATTTTGAAAACAATATGTTTTCTAAAAATTCAAACAGATTTCAGTATTTGTTTATACATATGTTTTAAGTTATAGCTAAGAGGACAGTTTACAAGAGTGATTTCATATAAGATCCTCTGCAACTTAATATTGTAGCAAAATCATAACTTCGGTGAAATTTATTAGAAGGTGAAATTGCATTAAGATTTTTAATGGAACTGGTGCCAGGTTCCATGTCCCCCTATCGATAGTTTCATCCAATATACAATAGCCATGAAAACACAATGCTTTATGTTAATGAAACTTTGTCACCATCAAAAGTTATTTATCAGTGTCTGATAGTGTTAGGTGATACATATGTACTGATACAGGGAAACTTATGTTAAGATTCCGGTCCTCCAAGGCAGTGACATTAAATATTAGCAGGTAGAAAATTTTGCCTCAGATGCTGCCATTTAGTGATAATGCTCATTTTACTTCAGTTCTTGTTTTGTGGATAATTTACACTCCACATGAGGTTAAGACCTAATCCATTTGCTTGTTATCCTGTATTTTTAGTTATCCTTGTTAGGCCAATATTCTGCACAATATCTGGAAAGTCTTTGGAATCCCAGGCACTTAATTATGTAAGATGAGTTTACATTATTAACATAGAAGGGCTATAGAAACAAATGAAGCTCTTTCAGTGAATAGAAAGAAGAAAATAAAAATTGATCTTTAAAGAGAATATTGAAGCTTATTATTTTCCTCCTCTGCTCCCTCCTTTGACATTTTAAGTTGCCTATTTGGGGATCTTTCTCTCATTACTAAATATCTTCAGAGAGCAACCCTGCTCTGCAGCTTCAGAATACAACAGGAAGAAAAGAGAACACCGAAATAGATCCCACAGTGGAGGACAATAAAACTTTATTATGTTCTCACAAAATTCCCCCCTCCCTTTTCTTTCAACTCAAAGGTATAGAGTTAAAGATCACGTAAATTTTATAGACCCCCGAAATCCCTTTTTTAACACATCTAAGTTTCTGAAAGGTTAAGTACTTCCTAGTTGAGCAGTTTCTGAATGAGTTCCTGCATATAAACACAGACACATTTCTTTTGTGTATATCAAAATACATGTCTGGACGGACATTTTCTGTCCACCATTGTAACCATGCCTTACTTGTAAAGATGTAGGTGCAAAGGAATTTGGGCGCTATTTTAAAAGGCAGCCACCTAAGCCAATTTCAGCAGCAAATTAACATTTAGGGACAATAAGAAACCTATGAATGTTGCAAAAGGAGAAAAGAATAGCACTACAGGGATAGGATGAAGCATATAAAAAGTTACCTTACTCTAGAAATGAAACCTTTAATTATGATGCCTGTGAGAAGAGTGACCTGAATGAAATGGAACGTAGTTGAATGAGCCGTGGAAGGTTGAGAATTTGAGTCCCCTTTGTAGATGGCAATAGAAATAAATTCAGCCTTCCCGTCTCCTGTCTCTATCATCCTAAATATGAGGCTCTGTTTCTATATTAGCCTTTCAAAGATACTTTGATCTGCACTTTCCACTCAACCTTGTTTGCAGTTGAGTTTTGTTAAGTTGTGCTTAGTTATCAATAATCAATCATAAAAGGATATTGGGAAACCCACTAAGGGGAAAAGTTCCACAGCAACCTGTTTCTTGTAGGCTGAAAAGATTGCTAAGCAGATTCTTTCCTTACTTATTCACTAGTTTTGTTTTTTTTTTTTTTGTATTTTTTTGTTTTTTTTGAAACGGAGCATCATTCTGTTGCCCAGGCTGGAGTGCAGTGGTGTGATCTTGGCTCATTGCAACCGCCACCTCCTGGGTTCAAGAGATTCTCCTGCCTCAGCCTCCCAAGTAGCTGGGATTACAGGCATGTGCCACCACACCTGGCTAATTTTTGTATTTTTTGTAGAGACAGGGTTTCACCATGTTGGCCCAGCTGGTCTCAAACTTCTGACCTCAGGTGATCCACCCACCTCGGCCTCCCAAAGTGCTGGGATTACAGGCGTGAGCCACCTTGCCTGGCCAGCAAACTAGTTTTGACAGCATACTATATGTCAGCCATACTCTAGGCTCTGGAGGTATGAATACTGAATAAAACCACAGAGTCCCTTCTCATGAAACTTTCATTCCATGGGTGAGAGATAGCCATGAAGCAAACAGGCAAGTATGCACTAAATTCCCTCCATTCAAAAATCCATAATTGTTCACGCTTTAATCTTTGACATTGAGGTTCATCTTACAATTGAGCTCATCTTATATTCACTTTTGGCTAGGTGGCATTTGTGGTATGTAAACTTAATTATAATTCTTCATATTTTAGATATTTGAGTCATATGAGTTATGTCCATTGTACCACACATGTTGAGTTTATTTGCCATGTAAAAGTATTTTCTAAGAGACCACATTATGACATGACATCAATGCCAAAATTTTTATGCAGAAATGCACAGATATAAACCAGCAGGACATAAATTTAATATTTGTTAGACGAATATTCATTATTGGAAGAATACCTGATTTCTATACTTTCCTGCAGAGCAATAAGCTTTAACATGCTATGGCTGAGAAAACAAAAGTGCCTATATATAAATAAAGCTGTTGACTTATTTTCCAACTGAGATGTATGCAAAAGGCACTGAACTAATACAGACCAAGCAATTCATCAGAAGGCAGTGCCAAGACCATAATATGAGGCAAGGCGGAAGTCAAGGTGCGATTCAGCCAATTTTAAATGCAAATAGTTTATTACTTACATCAATGCCTAATGGGGGCCAGCTCCCTGCAGTCCTTGTCCTAGGTAGCAAAAATGATATCAAAACCAAAGATGCTAGGACACAATCCAGCGTGACTTATGGGACATGCTGAGGCTCAGGAACACAGTCTAGACCTTAGCTGAACAGTTGTAAGGTCTGAAGCTGTCCCTTTACGGGGAGGAGCAGAAACCTGAGAGGCAATGAGAAACTGACTTATGATGCCTCCCAAGGTAGACAGGGAGACCAATGCAAGTAGCTTTTTGGCAGGGGTGGGAGGGTGGAGGGAGAAAGGGTCTCATTCTGTAGCTCAGGCTGGGATGCAGGGGCACGACCAAGGCTCACTACAGCCTCAACCCTCTGAACTCAGGTGATCCTACCACCTCAGCTTCCTGAGTAGCTGGGACCACAAATGCTTACCAAGACACCCAGCTAATTTTTGTATTTTTGTAGAGATGAGGTTTGGCCATGTTATCCAGGCTGATGTCAAACTCCTGGGCTCAAGCGATCCATTCACCTTGGCTTCCCAAAGTGCCAGGATTACAGGTGGGAGCCACCATGACCTGCCACGAGAAGCTTTTGAGGCAGCTCATTACAAGCCCCCCATCCTCTCTTCTTGCAGAGATCATAAGGTGTTCCTAAGTAGATCTGTGCAAGATCACCATGGCACCATAGCAGAACAGTTTCCCTACAAGCAGCAAATGTGGCTATACCCCTTGGAGGAGAAAAAGTTCTTCAGAGTAATAAGAGGCTGGTGTGACAGATTTATGTATTTGACTTTAGTCAAATCAAAAAAGCATCCATCAAAACTTGTACAATATTCAGGAGCAGAGAAGAAAATGCAAAAGTCATTACTAGAGCATTATTTTTTAGAAAAAACACCAAATTATTAATAGCTCTTGAATGTACAAAATATGATATTGTGTAGAAAATCAGGGATATAGACAATTTACTCTTTCTTAATGTGAACAAGTTTTAGGAATAACTCAACCTTTTTTGTTTGTCCTTTTCATTTTTTTATAAGCATAAGGGTGACAGGTGATAGAAATCCATGTTTAAGTATGTCTAAAAGAGCTCTCTTAGTATGATTAAAATAAAAATTCAAATCAAATAAAGTATTGTTTCACAGTTTAATTAGCAGTATATTGTTGGGAATAGGCCTCCAAAATCTGGCCATAAACTGGCCCCAAAACTGACCATAAACAAAATCTCTGCAGCACTGTGACATGTTTTTGATGGCCATGACGCCCACGTTGGAAGCTTGTGGGTTTACCGGAATGAGGGCAAGGAACACCTGGCCCACCCAGGGCGGGAAACTGCTAAAGGCGTTCTTAAACCACAAACAATAGCATGAGTGATCTGTGTCTTAAGGACATGCTCCTGCTGCAGATAACTAGCCCAACCCATCCCTTTATTTCAGCCCATCCCTTTGTTTCCCATAAGGAATACTTTTAGTTAATCTATAATCTATAGAAACAGTGCTTATCACTGGCTTGCTGTCAATAAATATGTGGGTAAATCTCTGTTTGAGGCTCTCGGCTCTCAAGGCTTTGAAACCCCTGATTTCCCACTCCACACCTCTATATTTCTGTGTGTGTGTCTTTAATTCCTCTAGCGCCACTGAGTTAGGGTCTCCCCAACCAAGCTGGTCTTGGCAGTATATTTTCTTTCTTAGTGATACATAAAATAACCATGTATCTTACAATCATTGCAACTTATATTTAATTAAATAGTTTATGTAAGGGGGTGATAAACGCTATGGAGAAAAATGAAGTGTGGTAAGATGGAGAGAGAAGTAAGGAAGCAGAGACTATCTCCTAAAAGACATCAGAGGAGCCCTCTATGATGAAATGATATTTGAACAGAGACTGTAGGAAGTAAAATTGGAAGCCATGTGGATATCTGGGAGAAAAAGATTCTAGCCACAGGTTAAAATACTTACAAAGATCTTGAGACCAGAACTGGCTTGGTGCACCTGAGGAAGAGCAAGGAGGCCTGAGTGGCTCCAGGATTGTGAATAACAAGAGGAGTGCTGTTAGGTGCCGGAGTCAGAGAATCAGCAAGGCGGGAGGTTGTACAGGGTCTTCAGTGCCATGGTTAGTACTCCAGCTCTTTCTTTAAGGGAGAGAGGAAGCCACTGGAGAATTATGAGGATAAGCATGACATGCTCTGACTCATGCCTCAAAGGCATCATTCTGGCCACTATTTTGAAAATAGTAATAAAGAACAAGTAGAAAGTGGGGAGATCTTTTAGTAGGTTTGAGCTTTGGTAGTGATGAAGATGAACAGAAGCATATACTGAACATATTTAAAAACTAGAGCCAACAACATTTGCAGATGGATTGGATGTGGGATATGTAAGAGAAAGAATTAATAAATGACGCTCAATTCTATGACCAGAGCCACAGGAAAGATGAAATTGCCACCTGCTGAGGTAAGATGGACTATGGGGGAAAGATGAGAAAGCAGGAGTTGGAAGTTCAATTTTAAATGTGCTATGTTATAGGCTGGGCACTTGGCTTGCGCCTATAATCCCAGCACTTTGGGAGGCGGAGGCAGGTGGATCACTTGAGGCCAAGAGTTCAAGACTAGCCTGTCCAACATAGCAAAACCCCATCTCTACTAAAAATACAAAAATTAGCCAGGCGCAGCACATGCCTGTAATCCCAGCTACCCAGAGGCTGATGCACGAGAATCACTTGAACTCGGGAGGCAGAGATTGCAGTGAACCGAGATTGTGCCACTGCATTCCAGCCTGGACAATAGAGCGAGACTTGGTCTCAGAAAAATAAAAATATAAATAAATAAATAAATAAATAAATAAATAAATAAATAAATAAATGTGTTACACTATAAACATCTTTGATTGTCTATCCAGGCGGCAATGGCAAATTGAAAACTGGATGTAAATGTTTGGTGGTCAAGTAACATATATGAGTAAGATATTAATTTGGAAGTTATGAGCATATAGGCTTCTTCAGGAATGTCTCCTATATTTCCTTCTAGTTTAAATTCTGGTGAAATCTACACCCATGTCCAAATACAGAGAAGAAGAGGGCCCTTATGCCTCTCAGGTAAGTGCCGACAGATCCCGATGGTTGAAGAACCAGGCTTTCTGAGGGAGAGGCTGTTCTTTGGACCTTTTTCCCTTCTTTCCCTGCCTCCGAGGTTGCCAACTCTGTGACGGTTCATCCTGCAGGGACTGGCTGTCATCTAGCCACTTGAGTTTACACGCACACCAAGTTCGTTTTCTAATGGGGAATCACACTGTAATTATAATTTTGAAAAACGTGAAAAATAATCAACCTGTCTTCAGTCCATTGACCACTTGAAAGGAACCACTGAAAGAAGCTCTTCGTCAATGTTTGAAGAAGCAGTACCAAATAACAGCCATCAGTACTACCAGCACTGAATGGTCTACAGAAATAAAATATGATACTCATTGAACCTTAGGTTTCTCAGGAAATAACAGAATAAAATATGGTGACATCGTATGAGTAAAATAAGCATATTATTTTTATTATTGCCAGCAATATTGATGATATAAAAGTGACTAGCAAACATTTTTTTTGTTAAAATGGTAGAAAATTTTCTCATTGATCACGTATAAAGAACACCATGATGAAAACTACAATTATGTCTTTGGTTTTCATTTGTTTGGAATTAGCGAGTACTTGTGTTTCTGGTTAAAACCATCCCTTAATTCAGCAATTCTTAAAATTCCCCAGAGAAAGGATAAATATTTGAAAAGACGTTTTCATTCTACAGTGTACTGTGCTTATATCGTCAGGTAACTTTGATACAAATGTTAGTTCGGGGGATTAGGGAACAAAAGCAACGTATTCAAATGAATTCCTACAATATTAAAAACAGATATCGACTAATGTACCAGGAATTTTACTCTTGCTGTTCATTTGAAGTTCTCTTCTGCCCTCGTAAATCAAAAACTCATCCAAATGATATTTTCAGTATGTGCAAATGTGAATATGAGCACTGTTGCTTGTAAATAGGGTGGATTTCCTCAGAGCTCAACATCACTATTGATGCGTTATTTTGTGTTAGAAATGTAGTAGCTGATTGGAAATCATGCCTAAAGTTTTTCTAGACCTCTGTTATATCAATTTTTAAGAAATTAGTAACCACAGCTCCCCTTCCTATTTAGGTTTATTTATTTTAACAATAGAAACCAAAATCTTTTACTTTCCAGAAAATTTCAGGAAAATATCACTGATTTGGGAGCTTGGTTTAAAAAAAAATAAGTTTCAGGAAACAAAAGGACTGGCAATGCTTAATTTCTTAAGCTAAGTGATGGTATGTGGATATTTATCATATTGTTCACTATACTGTTTTGGAGGCTAAAATATTTCATAATCAGAAAAATATGGGCTTGTAGTTGAGCCATTCAAAAAATGAGTATATAAATAGTTTTTTACTTATGAAGGTGACCATAAATTTCTCCACATATGTCATGGCTACCTTTGTGCTCACAACTTAATTTGTAATTGACTCTATTTTACATTATGACTGGCAAAACCAAGGAAGCCCATTGAAGGATGCTTGACTTTCCAAAGTGGGTTAGAAATGCTTAAGTTGCTTCCCCGCCCACCCCCACCCACTTTTAATTGCTTTATCTTACCTACAACCAGACAGTAACAGCAGAGTACAGTTTGGGGAACATTCTGGAATGGTGTAGTGAGAAACTCTGTAAATCCAGCCCTCCATTAGAAGCACTGAAACTGTTGGCAAAAATTGTCAACATTAAACTTTAAACTTTTCCCATCTCTGGAAATTAACCAAAGGCTTACAACACTCTGAAAAGCATTAATTAAAACAAAGTTGCCAAATCTGGTTAAGAATAGAAGGGTCAGTGGCTTTCACTTTGGCCTACTCCCATTCTCCTCTCTCAAGTGCCTCACAACCTTGAAAGCTGTTTGCCTCAAAACCAAGCAGTTGTAAAAGCCAGCAGGCTGGAAGTCCCTGGATGGGGATGGAAATTCCTCAAAAGATGCCACCCCCAGTGCTTTACCACTATCTGACCTGTCTTGAAGCTCCCTGGAAAAGCCCCATTTGGGGGCATTGTCATTATTTGACTTGATTCAGAGCTTGCTTTGCAGAAAAAGCCCTATCTCTGGGGTGTTTCTCAGCAAACCAGTCAGCAACAATTATTTAATATTGTAGCAGTCTGAGCTGCAATGCCAGCTGGGACAAACAAGAATCTGACTCAATAAAAAATAGAAAATATTAATGGACTCGTAACAAGTAAAGAGATTAAATTAGTAATTCAGAAACTTCCCACAAAGAAGAGACCAGGCCCAGATGGCTTTACTGCCAAACATTTAAGAAAAATTAATACAAATCCTTTACAAAACTCTACCAAAAAATAGAATAGGAGGAAACATTCCTCAATTCTTTCTATGAAGCCACCATTACCCAAATATCAAAACTAGACACAGACATCACAAGAAAAACAAAACAAAACAAAAACTAAAGACCTAAATTCCTTATGAATATAAACACAAAAACCCTCAACAAAATGCTAGCCAACTGAGCCCATCATATTAAGAAGAATTATAGAGAAAAAGAAAGAAAAGAAAAAAAATTGATTAATTGGGCTTCATCAAAATTAAAAAACATTTTCTTTGTTAAAGACCCTAATAAGAGGATGAAAAGGCAAGCTACAGAACGGGAGAAAATATTTACAAATTATACATCCAGCAGAGGATTCATAGCTGGAATACATCAAGAACTCTGAAATTTTAATAGTAAAAAAAACAAATATTCCTATTAGAAAATGGGTGACAGACAGGAAGGGAGGTTGTGTCAAAGAGGGTAAACAGAGGGCAAATAAATAAATGAAAACATGTTCAACATCATTAGCCATTAGGGAAATGAAAGAGAAAACCACAATTAGTTATTATTCCACACATACCAGAAGGCTATTTTTAAACAAACAAACAAACAAACAAACATGCTATAAAGGATGTTGAAAAACTGCATGGTTTATTTATTGTTCATGGGAATTTAACATGGTACAGCCAGTCTGAAGAAACATTTTGGAATTTTTCTTTTAATCTAAACATGTAATCATTTTACAATCCATCAATTCCATCCTTGAGCATTTATCTCGGAGAAATGAAAGGGATATTCACATAAAACCCAGTACATGAATGTTTATAGCTATTTTATGCATAATATCTCCAAACTGGAAACACACAGATTTCCCTCAAAAAGCAAATGGGTAAATAAACAGCGGAAAATCGACACTGTGGATTACTACTCAGTAAGAAAAAGGAGCAAACTATTGTTACACGCAAAAACCTGAATTAATCTCCAGAGAATTGCACTGAATAAAAAAGGCCCTTCCCCAAATGTGACATAGTATAATTTCATTTATATAACATTCTTTTTTTATTTTTTAATTTATATCATTTTATTTTTATTTTTTCTTTATTTATTTTTATTTTTTATTTTATTTATTATTATTATACTTTACGTTTTAGGGTACATGTGCACAATGTGCAGGTTAGTTACATACGTATACATGTGCCATGCTGGTGTGCTGCACCCATTAACTCGTCATCCAGCATTAGGTATATCTCCATTCTTGAAATGACACAATCATAGAAATGGAGAACAGATTAGTAGTTTCCAGGAGTCAGAAACAAAGGTGGGTTGAGAGAGAAGGTGATGGATGTGTTTGTAAAGGGGCACTACTAGGGATACTTGTCATGATGGAACTGTTCAGAATTGTAAATGTATCCATATCAATATTCCAGGACTGATATTGTACTATATATCTATATGATATTACATTGAGGGGAATTAGATGTAGGGTATATGCAATATTTCTATATTATTTCTTTTTAAAAACATATTTTAGGTTCAGGGGTATATGTGCAGGTTTGTTACATGGATACATTTGGTGTACAGATTTTTTGTTAGCCAGGTAATATGTATAGCACACTACAGGTATTTTTTTCAATCCTCACCCTCCTCTCACCCTCCACCCCCATATAGGCCAAGGTGTCTGTTGTTCCCTTCTTTGTGCCCATATGTACTTGGTGTTCAGCTCCCACTTATAAGTGAGAACATGTGGTAATTGGTTTTCTGTTCCTGTGTTAGTTTGCTGAGGATAATGGCCTCCAACTCCATCCATGTTATTGCAAAGCACATGATTTCATTCTTTTTCATGACTGCATAGTATTCCATGGTCTATGTGTACCACTTTTCTTTATCCAGTTTTCCATTGACAGGCATTTAGGTTGATTCCATGTCTTTGCTATTGTGAACTGTGCTGGGATGAACACACATAGGTATGTCTCTTTATGGTAGAATTATTTATATATTTTTGGGTATATACCCAATAATGGGACTGCTAGGTCAAATGGTAGTACCAGTACCATGCTGTTTTGTGTAGTAGGTAGGCAGAATAATGATACTTGGCTACACATCAAGGGGGAATCCAAATTACAAATGAAATTAGATTTGCTAATCAGCTGTCTGAGATGAAGAGCTTATTCTGGATTGTCAGGAAGGATCCAATATAATTACAAGATTCTTTATAAGCAATAGAGGGAGGTAAGAGAGCCAATGACCCAATGATGCAATGTGAGACGTGCCCCACCATCTATTGCTGTCTTTGGAATGGGAGGAAAGTACAAGCCAAGGGATGCAGAAATCCCATTCAAGCTGGAAAAATCTAGGAAATAGATTCTTCCCTAGCACTTCCAGAAAGGAACTCAGTTCTCTGAACGCTTAGTTTAAGCCCAGTGAGGCCTATTTGAGACTTGTGACCTTCAGAATTTTAAAATAACAAATTGTTTTAAACTGCTTAATTGCCGTAATTTGTTACAGCAGCAGTAAGAAATGATAAACCATGTTAATAGAGAACAAAAATCACATGATTATGTCAATAGAGTCAGAAAAAGTATTTGATAAAATCCAATGTTCTTTTGTGATAAAAATACTCAACAATCTAAGAATAGTAGACAACTTCCTCAGTTTGATGAAACGCATCTACGAATAACCCACAGCGAACATAGCGCTTTATAGTAAAAGACTGAATGTTTCCCCCATAAGTAGCAACAAGACAATGACGTCACCTTTGCCACTTCTTTAAAATATTTTTATGTTTGTTCTAGCCAATGCAATTTAGTAACAAAAAGAAATAAAGGACATTATTCTTGGGAAAAAAGAATAAAAATATATCTACTTGCAAATGATATCATCTTATAATTAGAAAATCCTACAGAATCTATTAAAAACTGTTAGAACTAGTAAATGAGTGCAGTAAGTTTACAGGATAGAAGATCAATATAAAAAATGAATTATATTTCTATGCCTGAGAAATTAACAAACTGAAAATGTAATTAAGAAAATTTCATTTACAATAGAATAAAAAATAAAATACTTAGAAACAAATTCCAAAAGAAGCATTAGACTTTCACACTGAAAATTATAATATATTGTTAAATAAAATTAAAAACAATTTAAAAATGAATGTAAAGGCAGCTAAATTTCATGGATCAGAAGACTTAAAATTTTTAATAGGGTAATATTCCCAAGTTAATCTACAGATTCAGTAAAATCACTGTCATAAACCCAGATGGCTTTTGCTGAAATTGATAGCGTATCTGAAAATTTATATGAAAATACAAAGGTTTTGAAAAAACAAAAAATCTTAAGAGGAATAACTTTCTGATTCTGAGGCTTACCACAAAGCTCAGTAAACAAGATACTGTGTAATGGCACAAGGAGAGATGTATATGTTAATGGGATGGATCTGAAAGTCTAGAATAAACTCTTCATTATAGCCAATTGGTTTTTGAAGAAAGTGCCAAGATGATTTAATGGGGGAGAAATATAGAATAGTCATTTCAAAAAATAGCATTGGGACAACTGGATATTCACATGCAAAAAAAGAAAAGAAATCTAGATTTCTGCCTCACATCATATGTAAAATTCTTCAAAATAAATTGTTGACCAAAATGTAAGCTCTAAAATGACAAACTTATCAGAAGAAAACATAAGAGTAAACATTCATGACCTGGGGTTAGGCAATGTTACATTAGACACGACAACAAATCAGATGCACAAAAAGAAAATAAATAATTATTGAACTCCACCAAAATTAAAAACTTTTGTTCTTCAAATATACTATAAAGACAATAAAAGAGATAAGCTATAGCCTGGGAGAAAAAATTTGCAAATCATATAACTAATAAGGGACTTGAACCCAAATATATAAAGAACACTTGCAATTCAATAATAAAAATGATAAATAGTCCAATTTAAAACTAGACAAATATTTGAATAGAAAATTCTTAAGAAGATACGCAAATCATCAATAAACACATAGAGTGATAATTAACATCATTAGTCATTAATGATACCACTTGACACTTACTAGGATTGCTAAAATCAAAATGTCTGACTACAGCAAATGTTGGTAAGGATGTGAAGAAATTGAAACCATCATACGCTCCTGGCAAGAATGTAAAATGTTCCCAAAATGGTTTGACATTTTCTTAAAATATTAAACATGAAATTGATCTATGGCTCTGTAATTCTATTCAGTACAACTCTTGTACAGAGATGTTCTTAGCATCATTATGCATAATAGTAAAAAATTAGAATCCACACAAATGTTCATAAACTAATTTATAGGCAATTAAAATGTAGTACGTAGTATATCCAAACAATGGAATATCCTTCAATAATAATAAAAAAATGAATGAAGTACTGATGCATGCTGCAACCTAAAAGAAGCTTGAACACATTATGCTTAACGAAAGAAGACAGTCACAAAAGATTACACAATTTATTCCACTTTTTTGGAAAGTCTGGAAACTGCCTAATGCTGTGATGCCAGTGATGGCAAACAAGAACCCAGACAAAAATGCAAAAAGATTTAAAAACAAAATGTCTATAGGGTGCTTTATGTGGATACAGAAGGCCATGTGCACATGCAGTGTTGTATGCCTGTCCAGAAAAGACCTTAAAGGGCACCAATCATTCACCTCCGCCCAACTTGTATCTCTGCAAAAGGATGCAGTGAAGGCTGACAGGCTTTTTAATGTCCAGAGTGGCGGGTGAATAAATGCCCCAACACACACAAAGCCTCTTGGCAAAAGGCAGGAAACATACAGGATCAAGCCATTTAAAGAAGTCTCGGACCAATCATTACCTGACTACTAAGCTAACCAAGCTAACACTTCATCGGCTGCACACTAGATGGATAATGGCATTATAGAATTATTCTGGAAAAGTTCTTAAATTAAAATACCACTGCCAATCAAAACTGTCCAGAAGAGAGGATATTTGATTTCCAAAGTTATCATATGATATTACCAAAAAATACAGTTTTCAACAAAAATCATAAGACGTGCGAAGAAACAGGAAAGAATGGCCCCCACAGGAGAAAACAAGCAGCAGGTGCATGCTGCCCATGAGCAAGCCCAGGTGGTAGAAGTATTAAAGACTTTGAATCAGTTCTTACCAATATGTAGAGAATATTAGGAGAGTGATGACTCACAAGTCTGAAAATATCAATAAGGAGATAGAATATATATATTTTAAATGGCCAAGTGGATATTTTAGAGATAAAAAGTATAGTAATTTAAAAAATTTACTAGAGGGGCTCAACACCAGTTTGAATTGGCAGAGAAAAGAATCAGCAAACTACAAGATGTTTCTGTAGTGATTCCTCTTTTAGTCTGTTACTAAAATAAAAGAAATATAGGAAAATAAACAGAGCTTCAGAGACCTGTGAGTCTCCATCAAACACAACATATGCAGCATATGCATAATGTTAGTTGCTGAAAGCTGGGGGAGAAAGGGACAGAAATATTTGAAAAAAATTACGTTTATGACAAGTAAATACATGAATTAGTAAGCAAGATCTTCCCACAAAGAAAAGCTCGTGCTTAGATGGCTTCACTGGTGAATTTTAGGAAAGATTTAAATAAATTAATACCAACGTGCCACAAACACTTCCCAAAAATAGAGAAAGAATAAAATTTCTAACTCATTTTATGATTTCAGTGTCACCCTGATACCAAATAAAATTCGTCATAAGAAAAGAAAACCAATATCCCTTGAGAATATGGAAAGAAAAATGTTAAGATCAGAAACAAGACAAAGATACTCGCTCTTTCTCTGCTGTTTAACACGTGCTTTGCGGCTGCCCCTCAGAGGCCTGGAGTAACCACCCTCAGATGTTGAGACAGATGATGCCACACACACCCTGCTTAATTCCATGTGGGTCCTGTGACACATTACTGCAAACTTCATGGCTTATAATAAAAATAAATTTATTCTCTTACATTTTAGGAGTCCAGAAGTCTGAAATAAGTATCAGTGGGCCAAAATCAAGCTGTCTGCATGGGTGTGCTCTGCCCAGAGGCCCCAACAGAGAGTAGGTTTGTTGCCTCTTCCAGCTGCAGGTGGCCGTTTGCATTCTTTGGCTTGTGGTTCTGTCACTCCAATCTCTTCCTTTGCCTTCACATTGCCTTTTTCTCTATATGTATTTCTTTTTCTCTTCTGGCTGTATCTAATCTCCCTCTTTCTCTAAGAAGGACACCTGGATGATCTGGGATGGCCTAGCCATTCCAGAATCCTTCACTTACTCACAACTACAAAGACCCTCTTTTATGAAATGGAACATTTACAGGTTCCAAGGATTAGGACCTGATATCTTTGGGAGGTCATTATTCAGTCTACTACACACACTAAGAGGGCCTGAGCAGATTTATCACATATATAGGCTTTCTGAGGAAAGCAGGGCAGATACCAAAGCCTCTCTGAAAATGGTCTGAGTGAAGGGAAGGGTGAGTGTTTCCAGTTTTTGGAGGGTGAAGCTGGCATGAGGGTTTCTATACAGGGTAGGTTTTGTGTATCTAGGAAAAGAGCACCTGGACATTCTTTATGAGCTCGAAGAAATGTTAGGCCAAAGGAAAAGGGGAATGGTGGGACTTGGACGTTGTCAGCTGTCAAATGTGAAAAATGAAGTCAGACTCCATTACAACATAGTATTGGAGGTTCTAGCCAAGGAAATCAGGCAAAATGACAAAACAAAACCAGTAAAACAGAAAGAAAGGGGAAAAAAAGAAAGACATCCAGATTGAAAATCAGGAAGTAAAACTTTATTTATTCGCAGTTAATATCACCCTGTTTATGGAAAATCCTAAAGAATCCAACTACAAGTAAAATGAAAAAAAAGAAAGACATCCAGATTGAAAATCAAAAAGTAAAACTTTATTTATTCACAGTGAATACCATCCTGTTTGTGGAAAATCCTAAAAAATCCAACTACAAGTAAAACAAAAAAAAATTAGAATAAACACACACTTTGGGAGGCCGAGGTGGGTGGATCACGAGGTCAGGAGTTCAAGACCAGCCTGACCAATATGGTGAAATCCCGTATCTACTAAAAATGCAAAAATTATCCAGGTGTGGTGGCACACGCCTGTAGTCCCCACTACTTGGGAGACTGAGGCAGGAGAATTGCTTGAACCCAGGAGGTGGAGGTTTCAGTGAGCCAAGATGATGCCACTGCACTCCAGCCTGGGCAACAGAGTGAGACTCTGTCTCAAAAAAAAAAAAAAAAAAAAAAAGAATAAACAAGTAGACCAAGGCCACATGAGACAAGATTAGTATAAAAAGTCAATTGTTATTCTATATACAAGCAGTGTCCACTCCAAAATTAAAATTAAGAATACAATTCTATTCACAGTGGCACTAAAAAAGTACAATACTTAGAAGTACACGTAACAAAAAAGTGTAAGGCGTATAAACTGATCACAAAACTGTGGAGAGACATTCCATGTTCATGAGTTTACAGACTCAGTTTATGTTGATGACAATTCCTCCCCAATTGATGTATGAATTCAACATAATCCCTATCAAAATTATAGCATGCTTTTTTTCAGAAATTGATAACCAAATCCTAAAACTTATATGGAAAGGCAAAACATCTAGAATAGTCAAAACAATTTAAAAACAAAATATTATTTAAAAATAAGAATGAAGTTGGAGGACTTCTACTTTCTGGTTTCAAAATTTACTATAAAGCTATAGTTATCAAGACAATGCATTACAGACATAGATTAATAGGTAGGTAGATATAAAGGGGGCAAATTGAGAGCATGGTGCATACAATTTTTTAAAAAATGTTTAACCTTGTCAATAAAAAACTTTTGCTCATAAAAAGGCATTATTAAGAAAATAAAAACGTGAGCAGTCTCCCAACAGACTGGGAGAAAATATTTTCAAAACGCATATCCAATATGAGGTTTCTATCCAGAATTTATGAAGAACTCTTACAAATCAATAATGAAAAGACAAATAAGTCAGTCAAAAAAAGTGGAGAAAAAACAGAAGACAGTCTACCAAAGATGATATATAAATAACTAATAAGCACATGAAAAGATGCTCAACATTATTTGTCATTAGGGAAATGCAAATTAAAACAACAATGAGCTATCACTACATACCTATTAGAATTGCTAAAATCCCAAACACAACACCAAAGGCTGATAAGGATGTGGAGCAACAGGGACTTTCATTCATTTCTGGTAGAAATACAAATGGTGAAGCCACTTCAGCAAACAGCTTGGCAGTTTCTTACAAAACTAAACGTATTCTCCCTATGTGGTCCAGTAATCGTGCTCCTTGGTATTTAACCAAACAAGTTGAAAACATACATCCATAGGAAAATCTGCATACGGATATTTAGAGCAGCTTTATTCATAATTGCCAAAATGTGGAACTAACCAAGATGTTCTACAGGTCAATGGATAGATAAATCATAATACATCTATATAATGGAACATTATTCAGTACTAAAAATAATAAGCCACCAAACCACTAAAAGTCATGGAAGAACCCTAAATAAAAATTACTAAGTGAAAGAAGCCAGTGTTAAGAGGCCATATGTTTCCAAGTGTATGACATTTTGAAAAAGAAAAAAAATCAGAGAGAGTAAAAAAACTCGGTAGTTTTCTCAGGTTTGGGGTAATGGCAGGGGGACTAAATGGGTGGAGTAGAGAGGATTTTCCTGGCAATGAAACTATTTTAAATGATACTAAAATAGTAGATACATGTCACAAATTTGTCAAAACCCAAAGAACTTCAACACCAAGAGTGAACCTTTGTAAACCATGGGTTTTGGTTGATGATGTGGCAATGTTTCTTCTTCTGTTGTAACAAATACACTTTATTGTTAGATGTTTACCATGGGAAGGCTCTACATGTTGGGGCAGAAGGGTGTGCATGGGAACTCTGCACATTTCACCAACTTTGCTGTGAACCTAAAAATAAAGACTACAGCTTCAGCATGTAGGAAGCTTAGAAGTTGCTACTGCATCCTAACAACAAATAGAAAACTGAACAAATGGAAAACCAGTAATTTATTTTATTTTTTAATTTTATGTATTTATTTATTTATTTTGAGATGGAGCCTTGGACTGTCGCCCAGGCTGATGTGCAGTGGTGCCATCTTAGCTCGCTGCAACCTCCCGGGTTCAAGCTCTTCTCCTGCCTCAGCCTCTGGAGTAGCTAGGATTACAGGCATGTGCCACCACGCCCGGCTAATTTTTTGTATTTTTAGTAGACACAGGGTTTCACTATGTTGGCCAGGCTGGTCTCAAACTCCTGACCTCATGATCCACCCCCCTCAGCCTCCCAAAGTGCTGGGATTACAGGCTTGAGCCACTGCACCCGGCCAGTAATTTTTTTAAATCAGTAAGATAAGTGATGTCACAAGATAAACCACTGCCTCCAAAATTGGAGAGACAGGCAGGTAAATATGGAAAAATCACAAGGTACCAGAGCAGAAACCCATGACTAAAAACCTTCATGGGAACCAGTGCCAGAGTAGGAAAAACTAAACTGTAGTTGAGAAACTGCCAGAGTCTCAGTGTGGACGAAAGTAAGAGTTAAAAACTCAAAGGGTAGGTACCATGATAAAGAGGGGCCCCTCACATTTTTGTGTGTTTTACCTCCATGAGCTCTACCAGGTCCTCACAGTGAATATGAATATCTGAGAAGAATAACCATGCTTTGGCAGAGGACATTCTCTTTTGCTTTGTTTTGTGTTTGAGACCAGGTCTCACTCTGTCACCCAGGCTGGAGTGCAGTGGTGTGATCTCAGCTCACTGCAATCTCCCCTTCCAAGGCTCAAGTGATTCTCCCCAACCTCAACATCCTAAGTAGTTGGGACCACAGATACATACCACCATGCCTGGCTAATTTTTGTGTTTTTTGTAGAGATGGGGTCTTGCCATTTTGCCCAGTCTGGTCTTGAACTCCTGAGCTTAAGTGATTCACCCCATCAACCTCCCAAAGTTGCACTGCCTGTGAAGCAGTATAGTGTTATTTGAAAGTGAACTTGGATTCGTTGTAAATGTATGTTGCAAATTCTAGGGTAACCACTAAAAAAAGTTAAAGAGAAGTGTTATAATTGACATGCTGAAAATAGAAAGAAAATGAAATTATACAAAACACTCAATTAAAGCCACAAAGGCAGAAAAAGCATGGAAGACAAAAAATAGGAACAAAGAACAAGGGAAAGAAGTAGAAAACAGTAACAAATATGGTTCATATTAATCCAACTACATCAATAATTACTGGAAACATCAATGGTCTGAATATACCAATTAAAAGACAAAAATCATCAAAATGGATGAAAAAACAAGACTTAACTGTATGTCGTCTACAAGAAACTAACTGTAACTATAAAATACATATAAATTAAAAGTAAAGGGATGGAGAAAGAGATACAATCTTAATATTAATGAAAAGAAAGTTGAAGTAGCTAAAATCATTTTAGACAGAGCAGACTTCAGAAAAAGAGAAGTTATCAGAGATAAAGGGGGCATTACACAATGATAAAGGGGTCAGTACTCCAAGAAAACAATAATTCTTTATGTCTCTGTACCTAACAATAGAGCATCAAAATATACAAGCCAAAAGTGGATAGAACTGCAAAGAAAAATAGAAGAATCTACTGTTATATTTGGGGACTTTAACTCTATAAGAAAATGAAATATCCAGTAGCCCAAAAGTCAGTAGGCATATAGTTGATCTTTATGGCATCATCAATCAACTGTGTATAATTGACCTCTAGAGACAACATCATCCAACAGCAACCCATTATGCATTCTTCTCAAGCTCACATGGAACATTTACTAAGATAGACCACATTGTGGGCAATAAAACATACCTAACAAGTTTCAAAGAGTAGAAATCATATAATGCCTGTTCTCAGACAACAATTGAATTCAATGGACTTTTGGAAATAACAAAAACTAAAATCAATAACAGAAATGTAGCAAAAAAAATCTCAAAATACTTGAAGATAAAACAACATACTTCTAAATAACACATGGGTCAAACAATAAATCTCAGATAAATTTTAAAATATTTGAACTAATGAAAACAAAAACCCAACTTATTAAAATTTGTGGAATATAGCTAAAGCAATGCTTAGAGGGAAATTTATGGCTTTGGATATATATATTAGAAAAGAAGAATGATATACAATTAATAATCTCCACTTCCACCCATGGAAACTAGAAAAAAAAAAGAGAAAATTAAATCCAAAGTAAGCAGAAAAAAAGAAATAACAAAAATTAAAGCAGAAAATAATAAAATTGCAAACAGGAAATCAGTAGAGAAAGAAGAGACTGGTTTTTTGAAAAGACTCATAAAAATTATTAGTCTCTAGTCTTGGAAACTAAGAAAAAAATGAAGAAAATAAAAATTATTAATATTGAAAAGAAAGAGTAGATACCATTCCAAATCCCATGGACATTAATAGGATAGTAAAGAAATGTTATGAACAATTTTATGCCAACAGATTTCATAATCTAGATGAAATGAACTAATTTCCTGATAGAAAATTTTACACAAAAATAAATAATCTAAATAGGCTGATACCTATGAAAGCAATTTAATCAATAATTAACTGTCCAAAACTGAAAGCGCCAGGTCCAGAGGTATTTACCTGTGAATTCTAGCAAACATGTAAGAAATACATTATACCAATTCTGTATAGTCTTCCTCAGAAGCCAGAAACAGAAGTAATATTTTCTAACTTATTCTATGAGGCCAGCATTACCCTAATACCAAAATCAAACAAAGGCAGTTTAAGAAAACTACAGAGTATCTCTCATGAAAATTGGTGTAAAAATCTCAACAAAATATTAGCAAATTGAATCCCACAATGTATACAAAAAATTACACACTATGACCAAGAGGAATTAATTCCAGGCATGCAAGACTGGTTCAATCTTTGAATATCAATTAATGTAATGCATGACTTCAAAAAATTAAAAAAGAAAAATCACATGATCCTATTTATAGGTGCAGAAAAAGCATTTGAGAAAATCCAACACCCAGTCATGATAAAAACTCTCAATAGACTAGGAATAGAGGGGAACTTCCTCAATTGTATAAAGAACACTTACACAAATGTTCTACAACAAACATCATACTTAATGGTGAGAAACTGGAAGCAAAGATCAATAACAAGTTAAAGGATATCACCTCTCACCACTTTCATGTCACATCTAATGCTATAAGACAATAAAAGAAATAAATTGTATATTATTTGGGAAGAAAAAATTATCTCTGTTTACAGATGACACAATGTTTTTACGTAGAAAATACAAAAGAATCAGCCAAAGAAACCTCTGAAATTAATAATTGATTACAGCAAGGTTGCAGGACACAAAGTTAATACAGAAAAATCAATTGCTTTCTTTCATACCAGCAATGAACAGAAGAAATTTTGAATTTTAAAAGACAATATTATTTACATTAACATTTCCCAAAATGAAATACTTAGGTACAAACCTAACAAAATACATACATTACCCTCATATATTTATGAGGAAAACTAAAAAACTGATAAAAGATATTGATGGCAGTGGCAGCTGTCTGGAGAAGCTGCTGCCATCATGTGGACTGCAGCAGGGAGGCATGTCTGGGGCTGCACACTCCATGGAGCCAGCAGGAGCTGGGGACAAGTGGGAGCCCTGCTCCTTCTGAGTTGAAGTGGGAGCTCTCCCAGTTCCACTGCAACCTCCCAAGCGATGGCTGTGGACCCAGGCATCTCTGTGCTCTCAGGGCCCGGGAGCAGGGGTGGCGCCCAGCTCTCATAGGCACAGCTTCAGCAGCCCAAGTTGCGGCTGTGGACCCAGGCCTCCAGCACCACAGAGCAGGCAGGAACTGTGCTCCCCTGGGCACAGCTGCAGCCACCGAAACTGCAGCTGCAGACCCAGGCATCACTGCATCTCTGCTCTCTTGGGGGCCTGGGAAGGCCTCCCCTGACCTTGCAGGCTTGGAAGTGCCTGCTCTTGCTTGCTGGCTTCTCCCTGCTGTCAGCACCTGTTTTGATCTTGGAGCAAAGTCAGAGCCAAGCCCAGGTGCTGTCATAGCCCCGCTGACTGTGCACATGTTTGGACACACCAACCCACTGCCCCCTCAGCCCCCTCTGGACTTTGGGCACTGACAAGCATGGGAGGGAAGCTGAGGGGGCACTGAGGGCAGCTCGGTGCTGGCCTGCAGCTGCACCTTGGCACCGATAGTCTGGGCGCCATGAATAGCAGCAGGAGGTAGATAGGTTCCTGGGCATAAGGGGGCAGGTCCCCGGTGAGGCCCCACCTTCAGGCCAGGGAGGGTCTGAAGGCTGGAAACTAGGCTGCCAGTCCTGTACACTAGAGTGGAAAATTGTGGTCCCTTTTCTGGGCCTGCCCATGGCCACCCATGGACGAATTGGCATGCACTTTCTCCCCTCTGAGGCCCATAAAAGCCCTGGGCTCAGCCAGAGCTGAGCGGATATCAGGACGACAAGCTGCAGAGAGGTACTACCCATACCAAGGCCTCCTCTCTGCTGAGAGCTGCAGAGACAATGGAATGACCTGCCTGTAGAGAGGAGCTTCCCACTCCAGGGTCTCCTTTCAGCTCAGAGCTGAACACCCATTCCTCATCTTGCTCACCCTCCACTTCTTTGTGTATCTCATTCTTCCTGGTCGCAGGACAAGAACTTGGGACCTGTTGGATGGCAGGGCTAAAACAGCTGTAAAACAAACAGGGCTGAAACATGTCCCATGCTCACCACATTGCGGACAAAGAGGAGAGAAGAGCTGTGGGCCTTCAGGGAGCCTAGATCTGGGAGCTCCTCTAGCCAGGGCTGTCACTTCCTCTTTGGGGCCCTGTGGTTCCTGGCATCTCCAAGCTTCTGGGCGTCACCACGTCCTCCAGTGCCAGCTGTGGAAGCTGCTTGCAGTGCATCTGGTTCAGCCACAGCATCACAGAGAGCTGGTGCCCATGCCGGCACCTGGAGCTGCCCACCCAGCTGCAGTGGCCAGACTTCATGTTCACTCACACACCCCTCACTGCTCCACCCCTGACTAGCCCTTGGCAGACATGGGATCCAGGCATGTAGTGTGTGCTGAGCACAGCCTGGCAGGCTGAGTGAGCAGAACTAGCCCAGTAGGCCCAAGCAAAACCCTGGCAAAGGAGCCACTGTCCACAGAGGTTTATGGCCAGAACAGCAACACTCCACTGATCCTGTAACAATATCGAAGAAGAAATATACAAATGAAGAGCTATTTTGTGTTTATTGATAGAAAGATGCATAATTGCCAGTCAGACGTTGGTTCTTCCCAACTTGATCTATAGATTTAATGCAATCTCAAACAAATTCTCATTAAATTATATCTAGCTATATTGTGGAAATCAACAAAATGAATCTATAGTTTATATGAAGAGGTGAAGCATGCAAAATAGACAATTCAATATTGAAGAAGAAGAACAGTCAGAAGACTGACTGATGCTATTTTGAATAATTACTATAAAACTACAATATTCAAGCCACGTGGTATTGGCAAAAAAATAGACAAATACATTAATGGAACAGAATAGAGAACTGAGAAATAGACACACATGAATTTAGTTAACATGATCTTTTTAAAAAATTAAATTTATGGCCAGGCACGGTGGCTCACGCCTGTAATCCCAGCACTTTGGGAGGTCAAGGCGGGTGGATCACGAGGTCAGGAGTTCAAGACCAGCTGGCCAACATGATGAAACCCTGTCTGTACTAAAAAACACAAAAATTAGCCAGGTGTGATGGCGGGCGCCTGTAATCCCAGCTACTCTGGAGGTTGAGGCAGGGGAATTGCTTGAACCCGGGAGGTGGAGGTTACAGTGAGACGAGATCATGCCACTGTACTCCAGCCCGGATGACAGTACAAGACTCTGTCTCAAAAAAAAAATTATTTTTATTGATACATATTAATTGTGTATATTTATGGGGCAAGTGATATTTTGATACATGCTTATATAATGATCACATCAGGGTATTTAGGATATTCATAATCTCAAACATTTATCATTTCTCTGTGTTGAGAACATTTCAAACACATATTATTAAGTGAAAGAAGCACATCTAAAAAGGCTATGTACTATATGATTCTAACTATATGACATTCTGGAAAAGCAAAAGAATGGAGGCAGTGAAAGATCAGTGGTTGCCTGGGGTTAGGTGGAATGGAGGGGTAAACAGGTAGAGCAGAGAGCAATTTGGGGGCAGCAAAACTCTTCTGAATGATACTAGGATGGATGACACTTGTTATTGTACATTTGTAGAACACCATGAGTGAATGTTCATGTAAGTTATGAGTTGGTTCATAATGTGCCAATGTAAGTCCATCGATTATAACAAATGTGCTACTGTGGCATGGGATGTTATTACTGGGGGAGGATGTGCATGTTTAGGAATGGAAATATATGGGAATTCTCTTTACTTTCCATGTACTTTTTCCGTGAGCCTAAAACTGCTCTAAAAAAATAAAGTTTATTAATTAAAAATATATAAAATCTATTAAAAACGTAAACAGAAAAGTAAAGCAAATAACACCTTATTGTATAAAATGCCAGTACTTTGTAATATGCTTTGAGATTTGACTCTGAATTATTTTTATTTTTTTTTATAATAAATATCTAAAGCAAAGAATACTGTTTCATTTGGGAGGTTTCCCATAAATTTCACATGTTGTAATATTATTTTGTTCTTTCTTTAACAATTTATGATTATCACTGTAAAAAACATTTCCACAAATTGAGTTTCCAAGATCTAATTGGCTTTTTATTAACAATTCATTAAAGGAAAATATAAAGGAGCTTCAATAAACTAAACAGAATGAATGAGTTTCACATGTACAAAAATGTGGAGAAAAGAAGAAAGAAGAAAAAAATAGCAAATTGATCATTTTGAGGTTAATTTTTTAACAGGGATGAAAGCAAAATATTGTTGGAGTAACATAATTTTGCTGTCATTTGTTGCCTGATTTTTTGAAAGGTCAAAAACTTAGGTTTCATTTTGGTGGAATGGAGTGACTCCATTTTGGATCTACTGTCTTCTGTAACGTTACCTTTCTTACATTCTTACATTATATTTCTTTAACATTCTTAAATTTCGTCTTTGACTCCATAAATATTTAATTTCTAAATGTTAAAATGCTTTCTTGTTATTGCTTAAAATATTAATTATCATTTTCTAACTCATTAGATTTTTATCACAGAGTATGTTTCATACTATATGGGAGTGAAGGTAATTATGTTTTGGGAAGGCTAAATTTTCATGGAAACTTAGGGAAAAGGATATTTTCTGTTGTTGAGATGTTTATGCATATCTATAAATCTAGTCTTAGGGATTACATTTTTCAAGTATTTTGCTTTGATTTATTGCCTTATCAAAGAAAGACAAAGATGGAGGTAGAATTTCTCAAAGCAATTGCATGTTTCTTACCTTACGTTTACCCTTATTTTTCTAATAGTGTTATACTAATTTAGTACACAAATATTAATAGTTATAATATTAGTAAAATTTTTGTATCTATAAAGAGTTCAGTCATTTTTTGTCTAAAATTTACTTTGTATGAAATAATATTGCCAGCTTTGCTCCTTTTTAATTGGACTGATTGATGTTTTTGTTTTTAAACATTCTATGATTTTTTTGTCAGAGATGTGTGTGTATATATTTTTTTTCTCGGATTATCCTACTGTTACTTATGTATGTCCAAAATTAATATCCAATGTGAATAATATTTAGGCAAAACATAATTTCAAAATCATGGCAATTATTTTATATTTATATTTTGATATTGATTTAAAAAATAATGTTTCAGAAGTAAAGTTCGAAAACATATTTTCTCCTGTGTTGGTAAGTATTTCTTATCTACCTAGGAAACTAAAATACTCTGTTTTTTCTTCCTACATTTCAAAGTATGGATCCTGTAGGTTCACAATGTTGCCTGTTTCTTTAGCTCAAGAAATTATTCTTTCATTATGTTATTGATTCTATACTTTTTTCTTTCTTAAGAATACAAAATCCTTTTAGGTTGGGATCTTAAGAATATGAAATCGTTTTAGGTTGACTCCTTTTTTCACACTCTTCCATGTCAATATTCTTTTATAATTTTCATCTCATTGCCAATTTTTTCTTCATTCTGAGAGAGCAAATGATTCCTGTCCTTCACATAACTAATTCAAAAGTCTCACAAAATTCTATGAGTTCATTGATTTTCAGGTGGATTTAATTTAGCTCTTATATTCCTGTACATTTGTAAGTATTTACAGGAATATACTTTATTTATTTATTGATTGATTGATTGATTGATTGATTGAGATGGAGTCTCACTCTGTCACCCAGGCTGGAGTGCAGTGGCACAATCTTGGCTCACTGCAAACTCTGCCTCCCAAGTTCATGCCATTCTCCTGCCTCAGCCTCCTGAGTAGCTGGGAATACAGGCACCCACTACCACCACGCCCTGCTAATTTTTTGTATTTTTAGTAGAGACGGGATTTCCCTGTGTGGACCAGGGTGGTCTCAATCTCCTGACCTGGTGATCCACCCGTCTCAGCCTCCCAAAGTACTGGGATTACAGGCATGAGCCACCATGCCCGGCCAGAAATATACTTTATTATACATTTTTGGCAACTTGATTTGTTTTACAAAATTATCTATCTTAGAAATCAATCCTTGTTTTAATATGTATATATCCCTCAATATCTTTCAATCTTCTTTAATTGTCCCTCAGTTTTAATAGTTACAGGATATTGCATTAAATGGATTTGCATAATTTAGTGTTTCTTTTGAGATCTACTTTGTGTTCAATCTTTTGACAGTACAAACAATTCTTTCAAATAGTCTTTGTATGTAAGTCTCTTTCACAGGAGTGAAGATATATAGGATACATTCCTAAAAATCATAATTGTTAGCATTCAGAATCTTTGTGTTTTTCCTCTTTTTTTTTTGTTTGTATTTTTGAGAAACATTACCAAATTGCCCTTCATAGACAGATAATTTCCTTTTATACATCCTCTTACCCAATTCCATTTTAATTTTAATCTGTTCCTTCTTGTTAAACTTATTCTGTTTCACAGACTTAATATGTTATTTTATTTTATTGAATTACTTGAGAAATTAGTGTTTTTTTTATTCTAACATTGTATTCTTTTGTGATATTTAAATACAGTGAGAGATTTAATCTTCACTTGAGTCTTCAGGGTAAAGACTCAATTGAAGATTATTCACTTCAATTACACTGATATTTTTGGGTCATCATGTTTCTCTGACTCTAGTTTTTGTAGTTTTCAACTTCAGCTTGATTGTTTCCAGGCTGAGTGATTTCCTATAAACAGGGGCTAGGGCTTACCCTTAGCCTAGTTGTCTGCCTATCAGTATGTTGAACTGTCTTTGCCCAGCTAAAGGACTAATTGATATTTGCACACTGATTTTAAGGGTTAGCAAGCATTAATGAAGAAGCTCTGCTAATCCAAGTGGCATCAACTCCAACCCCCACAGAAGTAACAGTCAATGCTAAAAACCCCAATTTCAGCATCAAGTTTCCCCATGGCTCTTTCTGTTTCTGTCTGTTGTATTTCTGGACTTTGTAGCTGAGCTTTATATCTCCCATGATATAATTTATCCAAGCATTACTTTTCTGTATCTGACCTGTGGTTTTCTGAGCGATGAAGTTGTCATTTCTGATTACATTTGAAGAGAAGTTGATTATGGGAGGAAGAAATTGGAAGAGAGGTGGCAACCCTCAGCTGTTTTATTGCATCTGCTTTGTTTTCTCAGTGCCTATTACAGATTATGAGCCATCATCCAATCTATAAGCAATAAATAAAATATCTCTACATCCTTGTCAAACTACTGTATTTGTATTATCTTAAGCAAAATGTATATGTAATTCTCCTTTCAACTCTGAAAGTTTTGTACCTCCCAAATTTTGCAATAAGTTGGCTATAAATACTAGTTTTTGTTGCTGTTTTCTTTTTGTTTATATTTGCATTGATATTTTATTGATAGATTTGGAGAGATTACATGAAGATAGATGACCAGAGTATGCGTTTAGTTAAAATTATTGGTTTAATTTGGCATTTGAATCAGGTCATTCTCTTACAAGCCACATATTTCTGTCTCAAAGACTTAGTGTATAAACTGTATTTAACAATTGTGCTCTCATTTTAAGTAAAATATAGGAGCTAAATCTATAAAGAAATAATATTATCAGAATAATATTTATACAGTAAATAACTGTTAATTTATTTGTATGTAAATTTGCATTTCTATATGGCATAGCGTTAAGGAAATTATCCATTTTAGCTTATGTTTCTCTTTATTCTGGAAAACATCTATTCTTCCAGTATTAAATTTCTTCTAAAATTACTTACTCTATTGGGCCTCTATCTCCGTCTCTTTTCCTGGTGTAGTCTTCTCTTCTACTTATTCACAGTTTTATCCTTGAATTAACTTGTTTTTTCTGCACTCTTTCATTATGCTGGAAACCTTCCTGCCAATTTGCAAGAAAGCAATACTCTTTGTTGATTTCCCTTTGAAAGAGAAAAGCAAGCTTCTAAACTAAGAAAGATCAAATCAGCATAAACTATTAGTATGATATTGTATTCTAAAGCAATGAATGTATCTATAACTAAAGATCTCACTCAGAAACACCTGGAGCTATTTTATCTTCAATAGTATGCAAAGGCTATATTTAACTACAACACTTAAAAAACAAATTTTGTGTTTTCCTTTTATTGTTTCAGAAATTACAAATTTTAAATAAACTATGTGAAGATGGAAAAAAATCACATATTGGAAAGGGAGCAGAGGAGAGATTAATCTACAATTTGACCTGTTAGAGAAATTAAACTCAAAGGTCCCTTAAATATAACAAAATTACTTCAAAAATAAATCAAGATATTTTATTTTTAAAAGCAAAGAACGATACAACAGGTATGTGTTTTTGTTTCCTCTTTTTCATATGTCAGGGTGAAATCAGATGTAAGTAATTTATTAGTTATGAGATACACTCATTCATATTAGTTATAACTCATTTCTTATGTTTAAAGTTGATATAAAATATTCATTTTGAATATTTTCAACTATAAACTTTAAAAGGAGAAATATAAATGCTAACTAATGTATAATTTCCCATTTTCAATGTAAAAAGATATTTTTGTCATGTTCCAAATTTTCATTTATTTTAAATACTTGTTGTTTTTTTTTTTTTTTTTTTCCTTAAGGGCCAAGGATAATTCTATCAGAGGACAAAGATGGTTGCTTTTAATTGCTCAGTTACTCTATCCAGTGATCCAACTTTGGCTTCAGGTTGCTATAGCAATTAAAATGGGAAAATTGGAAACAAAGCTTATTAAACTTCATTTAATCCATTATATATGGTTACAGCAACCAAAAAGCTTCCTACAGATTCTGAAATGGAAGCATCACCTCTGCAGATAATTAAGTGTTTTGGTGGGAATTTGTTCGAAAACCCAATGTACAATTAGACAAATATGTTCACATACCATCTTTCATTGAAGTCTGTATGAGTGTACATGCTTGTCAACGGGTCCTGATCCTAAATGCTTTTATGTCTGATTAATTGTCGATATCAGGCAGGATCTTGCTCATTAGCTCCTTACAGGGTCCATTTTAGATTGCAATGAGCTTCATTTAGAGATGATATGCTAACTGTTAATAAACTGCATTGAATTTTTGTGTGTGAGCAGATCCTGTTGGAAAAAATCTAAAAATCTTCCAAAGGGACTGAATAAATTCAGATTATTCTCTGTTGCAAAATTTACTATTAGATTATCTATTTTGCTTTAATTAAATATAAACTTTGTGTTTGCTCTTTATTTTGTATTTTATGTTTTGAATGTATCTGGTGTTTCCCACAGATATACTGACACTGTCAACTAATATTACTTCTGTATGTAAATGAAGCAAACTGATTTTAAGATTCACTAGATCTTGGTAACTAACTTTTTAGGCAGACATTGCAGACAAATGCATATTTTAGCCATTAATAAAAACTCTAAAGGCAACTCACTCAATATTTTTCTCTTTAATTCAATAAAATTATTAGAAGACCTGATGATAGACCTGCTTTATTAATATATGTTGGAAACACAGAGTTAGGAAAATTTTCTAGAAATTACAGCAGGAGATAGTAAAGTTAGCTCAAGAAAGAAGACTTCTAAGTGAGTCCTGCCCACAATTATTCTTTCTTGATTTTGAGATCATAAGTATTTGTTTTGTTTTTTATTTTTTGTATTAAGCTGGATATGGACTAAATTTTGTCATAAAGAAAACTATCAAGAATCACAAGTTAAAAAAAGTTAAAATTTTTTAAATGAAAAAGCATAGCTTTATTATTAAACTCACCCCTACATACTACATACTAAAAGTAGAATAAGTTTACTGAATAAACTAATGGCTAGTCTCACTATCTTATCTAGACTAGGAGAATTACTTTTTACAAAATGTAGCTCATTTGGCTATCTCCTTGTGTGCTTTTTAGAAAATGTTCCTAACTCCATAAGTGTCTTCAACATATATTAATAAAACAGGTCTATTATTGGGTCTTCTAATAATTTTAGTGACGTCAAATGATAAAATACATTGTTTGGAGCTGTCTACATGAGAGAAAACATATTGTGAGAAGTCATAGAATTTTGCTTAGAAAGAGTTGCAAATATATCAATGAAGGAGTCAACACTGGTAATAATAATGTATATTTAAGGATACATATGATATTAGAAATAATCTGGAATCAATACTTATATCTAATATAAAATAAATATAATAACAATTACAATAACATCTTTTCTTGCTTTTTAAGTCTTTAATACATTGGAATTTACACTGAAATTTTCCACTGATTAGAAGTTCTAAAAAATTATCATTATCACAGGTGTTGAATAAAAAGATGCCTTGAATAGATAGTAGGAAATATATATTTTTGGTGGCATTTAGCAGACAATTAAAAATCTTACATCTCAAATCATTCAGTAAATTGGGAAAAGGTCTTGTTTAGTGATATTTTGCAGTTCTCACAAAGACATAGGAAAGGCAATAATGGAATTTTTTATTTCATTAAAACTTATAAAATAACATTCAATTTTGGAAAGAAAAGTATACTTCATGGATATTTTATACTCCATTTATATTATACTTTTTTCTTTTATACTATATTTCTTTTGGTCTCTTTTTAAAAGCAAGTGTAGAAGACAAAGACTTTTCTCTAAAATGATCACAAAAACACAGGAGTATATGGCTCCTGAGCATCTCTTTTTCTAATATCCCCATATTTAATGATATATTTTAAAGAATTCTGTGACTTTACTTTTATCAACAACCAAGTTGAAATTAATTCTATATAAATTTTTTATCACATGTGAAGATGATGACTATATATAAAAATATTGCTTTGTGTCAGTTTCCAAATACATGCCATAACAATAATTTAATAACTTCTATGAAAGTAAAATGAGGACTCACAACAGAATTTAAAATGTACTCATTAGAAAACAGAGCTTCAGGAACACTTGAAATAATAATATCTCTTCAAATGGGATGTACATTCCTTACTAATATGGTTTGTCTGTGCCCCCACCCAAATCTCATCTTGAATTGTAGCTCCCATGATTCCCATGTGTTATGGGAAGGATCCAGTGGGAGGTAATTGAATCATGGGGGTGGGTCTTTTCCGTGTTGTTCTCATGATAGAGAATAAGTCTGACAAGATCTGCTGGTTTTATAAGGTGGGGTTTCCCTGCACAAGCTCTCTCTTTGCCTGCTGCCATCCATGTAAGATGTGACTTGCTCCTCCTGGCCTTCTGCCCTGATTATGAGGCCTCCTCAGCCATGTGGAACTGTAAGTCCATGAAACCTCCATTACTCAGTCTTGGGTATGTCTTTATCAGCAGTGTGAAAACAGACCAATACACTTAATAAATAAGGCAACTTTGATTCGTAATGAGATCCTTTCATTCATTCAGGAGATTCTCCTAAAGTGTATGGTGCTTTTCCACCAGTTGGAGTTCAAGCTCTCTGTTCCTTTGTCCAATGATGGCAACTATTCTTTCCAAGCCCTACTCATTGGGAATTGTAGTAATGGCTGTTTCCTGAATATACACTGAACATATTTTTTCCTGTGCTTTTTCTTATAAATATCTACAATACCTAGAATATTTACTATCCATCTAAAACAGTGAGGACTCTATCTTTTTTTTTTTTTTTTTTGTCCCTTAATGCTTTCCTGAGCAGCATGGGGATGTGCTCCCTTCCATGAAATTCTTATGATTTTTTGCTGTTCCCTTCTTATTTTACTTACATTATTGTAGTAAAGTTATTGGTTTGAGCAGCATCATAAAATCATGTGATATTGAAATATATATTCATGATTAACCAAGAGAAAGCAAACACAATAAGCGCAAACTCCATAGTAACACATGAAAATATTTTTTGTTCCCAGCTACTCGAGAGGCTGAGGCAGGAGAATGGCGTGAATCTGGGAGGCGGAGCTTGCAGTGAGCCAAGATTGGGCTACTGTACTCTAGCCTGGGCGACAGAGCGAGATTCTGTCTCAAAAAAAAAAAAAAGTAATAAGAAAATATTTTTTGTAGTGGTAGAGGAATTGGGAAGTTTGTTTTTTTGAGACAGGGTCTCATTCTGTTTCCCAGGCTAGAGTGTAGTGACATCATCACAGCTCACTGCAGCCTTGACCTCCCAAGATCAAGTGATCCTCCTGCCTCAGCTTCCCAAGTAGCTGGAACTACAGGCACATACCACCACAGCCCTCTAATTTTTGTATTTTTTTGTACAGACAGGGTCTTGCTATGTTGCTCAGTGATATGGTTAGGCTTTGTATCCCCACCCAAATATCATCTTGAATTGTAATCCCCAGAATCCCCTTGTGTCAAAGGAGAGACCAGGTGGAGGTAATTAAATTATAGGGGTGAGTTCCCCCATGCTGTTCTCGTGATAGTGAGTGAGTCTCGCAAAATCTGATGGTTTTGTAAGTAGCTCTTCCCCCTTTGCTCAGCACTTCTCTGTCCTGCAGCCTTGTGAGGAAAGTGCCTTGTTTCCTCCGTGATTGTAAGTATCCTGAAGCCTCCCCAGCCATGCTGAACTTTGGGTCAATTAAACCTCTTTCTTTTATAAATTATTCAGTCTTTAGCAGTTCTTTACCACAGTATGAAATGGACTAACACAACCAGCCTGGTCTCAAACTCCTAAGCTCAAGTGATCCTCCTGTTTGAGCTCCCCAAAGTGTTGAGATTACAGGTGTGAGCCACTGCACATGGACTAAGGGAAAATAAATTTTAATAAGCAGCTATATAGAGAGTTCTAGTTGCATGTGTGTATGTGTATTTCAATTTTGAGTAAATTTATAGAGTTGTGCAATCAACAGTCTAGTTTTAGAACATTGCAGTCCTTAATCTACTTTCTGTATTTATATTTTAGCCTTTATTGAGCTTTTCCTACAAATGGGATCATACAAAATATGGTCTTTTGCATCTGACTCTTTTGCATCTGACTCTGTTCACTTAGCATGACATTTTGAAGTTCATTCACAACCTAGCATCTACCAATAACTTGTCCGTTTTATTACTGAATGGTATTGAATTTTTATATGGCTACCTTTCATTTGGTCTGTTGAACAGTTGAGGAAAATATGTATTGCTTCCAGTTTGGGGCTGCTATGAAGAATGCTGCTATAAATATAAACATTCCTATGCAAGCCTTTGTGTGGGTGTTTGTTTCCTTTCCTCTTATATTCCTCAGAATGAAATTGGTGGGTTATTTGATAAGTTTATGTTAACTTTTTAAATAACTGCCAAACTTTTTCAAAGTGGCAGTACATTTTCCCCAGCAACTTATGAGGGTTCTTAGTTTTCCATATCTTGGTCAACAGTTGGTATTGTCTTTTTCCAAAAGAGAAAAAAGGAAAAGAGAAGAGAAGAAGAAAAGAAAAAAAAAAGAAAAGAAAAGAAAAGAGAAAAGAAAAGATAAGATAAAAGAAAAGAAAAGAAAAACCCTTCTGGTGGGTGTGAAGTAGCATCTCATTGTTGTTTTAATTTTCATTTTCTTTCTTTTTTTTTGGAGACAGAGTTTCACTCTGTCGCCCAGGCTGGAGTGCAGTGGCACGATCTCGGCTCACTGCAAGCTCTGCCTCCCAGGTTCATGCCATTCTCCTGCCTCAGCCTCCCGAGTAGCTGGGACTAAAGGTGCCTGTCACCACGCCTGGCTAATTTTTTGTACTTTTAGTAGGGACAGGGTTTCACTGTGTTAGCCAGGAAATTTTCATTTTCGTAATTACTAATAATGTTTGCACCTTTTCATGTGATTATTAGCCATTCATATATCTTCTTTGGTGAAATGTCTATCCAAATATTTTACCCATTTTTAAATTGGGTTGTTCGATTGTTTTTTTATTATTGAATTGTAACAGTTCTAGATAAAGTCTCGTAACTAGTCATTTATCCTATATATGATTTGCAAGTATTTTCTTCCACTTTATGTCTTGTCTTTTAACTTTTTCATGATATCTTTCAAAGCTTAAAATTGTTAATTAGGATGAATTTCAATTTATCTTTTTTTGTTGTTATGAGTTGCACTTTTGGTGTCTCCTTAAAGTTAACAAATATTTTCTCATATATTTTCTTGTGGATGTTTTATGAGTTTGACTTTTATATGAGGTCTCTGAGACATTTTTGAGTTGTTGTACGATGGGACATACAGGTCTACATCAGTCTTTTGACATGTGGACATTCAGTTGTCCCTGTATTGTTTATATGAAAGGCTATTTTTTTCCTCACTGAATTGCCTTGACACCTTTTTTCAAATTATTTGACCACAAATGTGTTTATTTCAGGATTCTCAATTCTGTACCACTGATCTATATGTTTATCCTCACACTGGCAGCATTCTATCTTGCTTAGTGTGGACTTATAGTAATTTTGAATTATAGAAGTCTAAGTCCTTCAACTTTATTCTTTTTCAAAGTTATTCTGGCTGTTCTAGGTGTTTTGTAATTTTTTATAAATTTTAGAATCAGCTTGTCCATTTTTGCAAACAACAACAACAAAAACCCCAACCTACTGAGATTTTGATAGGGTGTGTGTTAAATTTATAAATCAATTTAGGGGAGAATTGACATCATAAAAGGATTAATTTTTCAATTCAAACATATGGAAGGTCTCTCCATTTAGTTAAATCTTCTTTGGATATGTCATAGCAATGTTTTGTAGTTGTCATGTTATACATTTTGCACTTTTTGTTAAATTTATTCCTAAGCATTTCATTCTTTTTTGATAATTTTGTGAATATAATTAATTTCATTTTTGGATTGTTACTTGTATTTGAAAATACAATTACCTTTGTATATAGATCTTATATAGGTAAACATGCTGACCTCTTCGATTTGGTTTAGTAGTTTTATTGTGGCTTCCTTAAGACTTTCTATGTATATGAGGACATCATCTGTGAATAAAGACAATTGTACTTCATACTTTCAAATGTGCATGTTTTTAATTTCTATTATTATTATTTGCCATTATATACTGGCTACAAGCTCAATTAAAATGTTAAGTAGGAGAGGTGAGAACAGAAATCCTTGCTTTTTTTTCCCATCTTTCAGGGGATGCATTCAATCTTTCAGCATTAAGTATAAGGCTAGCTGTAGGTTTTATGCAGCTGCCTTTTAGCAAGTTGAGGACATTTCCTTTCATTAGTCTGTTGAGCATTTTTAATCATGGATGTGTGTTGGATTTTGTCAAATCCTTTTTCTGCATTTATTTTGATGATCATGGGCTGAATCATTATTTCCAAATGTTAAAATAACTAAATATCAAATGCTTAATAAAAATTGCTTTTTCTCTAATATCTAGAGCCATTTGTATGCACTTAAAATCACTGCATACAGGTGACTACTTTTTTTTTTAACCAGTTGTTAAGGCTGCTTCTGGCTCAGTGAAATGCTGGATTATAATTATTAATGCTAGGAGAATTTTGAACACTGTCAGAAAACAGGCTCCTTTTGTGATTTAGTAATATATTGGTGAGGAGTAGAAAGGGAGTTTCTTTTTTTAGTTTTTTTTAATTGTGGTAAAATATACATAACATAAAACATCTGTAAGTGATTTTTAAATGTACACCTCAGTGACATTCATAATGTCGTGCAGTTACCACCACTATCCATTTCCAGAACATTTTTATCATCTAAAACAGAAGCTTGGTACCCACTAAATATCACCCCCACTTTACTCCCTACCCCCAGACCCTGGTAACCTCTATTCTATTTTCTGCTTTTATTAAATTGCCTTTTCTAGGTACCTCATATAAGTGAAATCATACTACATTTTTCCTTTGTGTCTACTTTCTTTCACTTAGCATCATGCATTCATGGTTTATCCACGGTGTAGTATGTCTCAGAGGAATTTCATTTATTTTTAAGACTGAATAATATTCCATTGTATGTTTATAGCATATTTCTTATATCCACTCATCTGTTGATGATTGACAGACATTTGGGTTGTTTCCACATTTCAGCTATTTTGAATAATGCTGCTATGAACATCAGTGTATAATTTTCTCTTTGAGTCCTTGCTTTCAGTCCTTTCGAGTGTCTACCTAGAAGTGGAATTGCTGGATCGTATGGTACTTCTAGGTTTCACTTTTTGAGGAATTGCCATGCTATTTTCCACAAAGACTGCACTATTTCACATTACTACCAGCGTTGCACAAGGGATGCAATTTCTCTCTAACATTTTCCTAACACTTTTGTTTTCTTTCAATAAGAGGCACTGTAATGCGTGTGAAGTTGTACCTCATTGTGTTTATGATTTGCCTTTTGCTAATGATGAGTGATGCTGAGCATTTTTTCAACTGCGTGTTGCCCATTTGTGTATCTTCCTTGGAGACATGTTTATTCAAGTCCTTTAACCATTGTTTGTTTTTCTTGTTAAGTTTTAGAAGTTATTTATGCATTCTGGATATTAATCACTTATCAGGTATATGACTTACAAATATTTTCACTTGATAGCATCCTTTGATGTACAACATTTTACATTTTGATGAAGTCCAATTTACTTACTATTTCTTTTATTGCCTCTGCTTTTGATATCATATGCAAGCAATCTCTGCCAAATCCAATGTCATACAAGCTATTTTTTGTAAGAGTTTTGGAATTTTACCTTCTAAGTTTAGGTCTTTGATCCATTTTGAGTAAGTTTTTGTAAGTGGCATGTGGTACAAGTTTTACATGATTCTTTTGCCTGTGAATATCCAGTTTTCTTAAGTTCACTTTGTTGAAAGGAATGTCCTTTCCTTCATTAAATGGTCTTGGCACCCTTGCTAAAAATCAATTGACTTTATATGTAAAGGTTTATTCGGAGGCTCTATATCTATTGCATTGGCCTATATGTCTGTCCTTAAGCCAGCACCACACTGTTAGGTCTTTGCAGTGCCTTTTGAAATTGGGAAGTGTAATTCCTCCATCTTTGTTCTTATTTTTCAAGATGACTTTGGCTCTTGAAGGTGCTTGAGATTTCATATAAACATTAGGATGAATTTTTCTATTCCTGCAAAAAGAAAATCCTTGGTATTTTTGATAGCTATTGCATTGAATCTGTAAATTGCTTTGGGTAGTGAGGTCATCTTGGTAAGATTATGTATTCTAATCCATGAACAAGATGTCTTTTCATTTATCTAATCTTTTGGCAATGTTTTGTAGTTTTCAGTGTATGAGTCTTTTATCTACTTGTTTAGGTTTATACCTGTCTATTTTCTTTTTGATACTCTTATAAATATAATTTATTTCTTAATTTCCTTTTTACACTGTTCATTGTTAGTGCGTAAAAAATGCAACTAATATTTGCATGTTGAACATCTGTCTATTATTTGCACACAAAACCACTTTTAATGGGTACAAAGTTAAATTAGGAGGAATAAGTTCAGATGTCCTATTGCACAGTAGGGTGACTATAGTTAATAATGTATTGAATGTTCTTGCTACAAATAAATGATAAATGTTTGAGTTGATGGGTGTGCTAATTACACTGATTTGACTGATACACATTTTACATGAAACAGTACATACACCATAAATATTTACAATAATGTATCAGTTTAACATTTTAAAAAACATTTGTAATGTAAAAAGTGTCTCTTAAACTGGGTAGGTTAACTTCTTGATTTATATTTAAATATGAATCTTAAGCAAAATAGTGAAAATAACCATTTTGATTTAGTGTTTTTTTCCTGTGTGTGAATTGTATATACTTAGGTGAGGACAACAAAATCAACTGAACTGTAAGCTTAGAATAGGACTGAGGGATAATTTTGCACAGCAGTTTTACTAATGGTACATTGTTACATTGTTGCTTCAAAACTCTCTCTCTCTTTCTGTCTGTCTCTCTCTCCCAATAAATGGCCAAAGGGATTAGTACTTTACCTTTGGATGTCCTCAAAGTATTATTTGGAGTTGAAAATACTTCAGCTAGAACTAAGTAGAATTTGTTTTTTTCCTTTGGAAGTCCTCAAAGCGTGATTTGGAGTTGATAATACTTCAGCTAGAACCAAGTAGAATCTGTTTGTTTTTTTCCTTTGGAGGTCCTCAAAGCATTATTTGGAGTTCATAATACTTCAGCTAGAACCAAGTAGAATCTGTTTTTTTCTGAGGCGTATCGGTAGCATAAATGAGATTATAAACAAAGTACACTTAAGTTATATGAATGCAATGACTGCTATTTATACAAAATTTAAATCTGCAAAAGGAATCAACATGCTTATGGGTTATTAAAATTGTCTAAATTCTTAGGTTCTGTATAGCACATGTGTTGATTTACAAATAAATGATTTATTAAGTGATTAAGAAAAAAATGCAACTAATATTTGCATGTTGATTTCCTATCCTGCAACTTTGCTGTATTTGTTTATTAAATTCCAACAGTTTTTCTGAAATCTTTATGCTTATCTACATTTAAGATTATGTCATTTGTGAACAGAGATCATTTTCATTCTTCCCTTCCAATTTAGATGCATTTTCTTTCTTTCCCTTGCCTATTGCTCTGATTAGGACTTCCAGTAGGTGGGAATTGAACAATGAGAACACTTGGACACAGGATGGGGAACATCACACACCAGGGCCTGTCATGGGTGGGGGGAGGGGGGAGGGACAGCATTAGGAGATATACCTAATGTAAATGACGAGTTAATGGGTGCAGCACACCAACATAGCACATGGATACATATGTAACAAACCTGCACGTTGTGCACATGTACCCTACAACTTAAAGTACAACAAAAAAATTATACACATAAAATATATTAAAAGAAAAAACTTCCAGTAATACGTTGAATAGAAGAGACCAAAGCAGGCATCATTGCTTATTTCTGAGTTTAGAGAAAAAGTTGATTATTTTTAAATATTGGATGTTATCTGTAAGCTTTTCATATAAATTTGTTGATGAATTTATCTTTTATCCTTAGTTTATTGGGTGCTTTTTATCAAGAAAGAATGTTGATTTTCGTTAGCTGTTCTCTCTCCTTTTTTTGTACCAATTGTCATTATTGACTGTTTTCCCTCACTTCATTCTATTAATTTTTTCTAGCTTCTTAATATTTAAAATATTGCTAATGATTTAATACATTTTTCTTTTTAAATGTATGCATTTACAGATATAAATTTCCCCCTTATCACTGCTTTTGCTGCATCTCATGAGGTTCCACATGTGTTTTTATTGGTCTCAAAATATTTTCTAATTTTTCTTGTCCTGCTTTAATGAATTGGTTGTTTAAAGGTGTTTTGCTTAATTTCCACGTATTTTTGAGTTTTCTAGTTTTCTCTTTTTATTAATTTCTAGCTTTATTCCATTGTTACCACACAAGGTACTTGGTGTAATTTCAATCTTTTTAAAATTTTAAGACTTAGTTGTGTTCTAGCTTCATTCCATTGTAATCAGACAAGGTACTTTGTATGATTTTAATCTTTTTAAAATTTTAAGTCTTGGTTGTGTCCAAACTATACTGGACAATGTTCCATGTGCCTTTGAGAAAAATGTGTATTCTGCTGTTATAGGATGGAATGATCTGTGTGTGTCTCTTAGATCCAATTGGTCTACAGTGTTGTTTAAAGTCCTCTAAATCCTTATTGATCTTCTGTTTTATTGCTCTACCCAATATTGAAGTTGGGAGTATTGAAGTCTCTAACTATTATTGTATAAGTGTCTATTTCTCTCTTCAAATCTGTCATTGTTCTATCATATATATTGGGGCTCTGATATTTTATGCATATGTGTTTATAATAGTTAAATGCTCTTGGTGAATTGAATTGTTATTAACATATAATGCCTTTCTTTGCCTTTTGTAACAGTTTTTGAGTTAAAGTCTATTTTGACTAATATTAATATAATATCTAGTTTGCCTTTAGTTACTACTTGCCTGGAATATCTTTTTGTATTCTTTACCTTCAAATTGTGTTTGAAATATAAAGTGAGTCTCTTAAAAATAGCATAGAGTTGAATCATGTTTTTTTTCTGTTCTGCCTCTATGACTTTTGATTGGAGAGCTTAATCCATTTACATTAAAAATACATATTGATATGAAGGAAATTCTGCCATTTGCTATTTGCTTTCTATACATCTCATAGCTTCTTTGTCTCTCATTTTCTCCATTAGAGTTTTTATGTGCGTTTATTGGATTTTTGTAGTGACATGTCTGATTCCCCTATGCTTTCCTATTGTTTACATTCCATAGATGTTTTCTTTGTGATTATCATGGGGATTGCATATAATATCTTAAGGTTATAAGTAATTTGAATTAATTATAACTTGACCTCAATTGCATAATATACTCTTATAAAGTTACATCCTCATGTTATTAATAATAAATATGTTACAATTTATCATAAGCATATCAAATTACATATTTATACATTGAGTGACTAATAATATAATACAGCTTTAAACTTCTTTTTATGCTTTTGTATTTTAAATTCTGTAGAAAATAAAAAGTGGACTTATAGACTAAAATTACGGTACTGTGGCTTATATCTGCCCATTTATTTATCTTTACAGGAGAACATTGTATTTTCATATGGCTTCAAGTTACTGCATATTGTCTTTTTATTTCATTGTAAAGGATTCCCTTTAGAATTTCTTACAGAGCAGTTCTAGTGGTAGTGAATTCCCTTAGCTTTTGTTTATCTGAAAATACAGATAAACAAGAAAATTATTATTTTTTATCTGGGAACACAGATGAACAGTAAATAAATTACACTATTTGCAACTTCTCCCTTGTTTTTAAAGAACAACTTTGCCAAATATAAAAATCTTCATTGATCGGTTTTTTTTTCAGCCCTATTTTATTTTATTTTATTTTATTTTATTTTATTTTATTTTATTTTATTTTTGAGATGGAGTCTCACTCTGTTGCCCAGGCTGGAGTGCAGTGGTATGATCTCAGCTCACTGCAACCTCTGCCTCCCAGATTCAAGTGATTCTCCTGCCTCAGCCTCCCAAGTAGCTGGGACTACAGGTGCATGCCACTGCACCCGACTAATTTTTCTATCTTTAGTAGAGACAGAGTTTTGCCATGGTTGCCAGGCTGGTCTCAAACTCCTGACTCAAGTGATTCACCCATCTCAGACTCCCAAAGTGCAGGGATTACAGGCATGAGTCACCGTGCCTGGCTTTTTTCAGCACTTTAAATATATTATTTCTCTGCCTTCTTGCCTCCAGGCTTCTGATGAGAAATTGGCTGATACTTGTATTGAACATCCCTTTTATTTTGTTGAATTGCCTTGCTGTTATTGCTTTTAAGATTCTGTCATTGTTTGGCTTTCAACAATTTGATTATAATGTGCTTTGGTGTAGATGTTTTTGGGTTTATCCAATTTGGTATTGCTGGGCTTATTTTATCTGTATATTCATGTCTTTCTTCATATTTGGAAGGTATTTGGCTATTATTTATCTTACCACTCTTTTTTACCTCTCTCTTCTCCTTGATCTGCTTGATGGTGTCCCTCAGTTTCCTTAGGTTCTATTCACTTTTATTCATTCCTTTTTCTCTTCTGCTCCTCAGACTCAATAATTTCAATTTTCCTATCTTCGAGTTCACTAATCTGCAAATCCGTTGTTGATCTCTGCAAGTAATTTTAAAAACTTCAGTTGCTGTACTTTTCAGCTCCAGAATTTTTGTGTGGTTCTTTTATATAATTTCTTTGTTTGATGATATTCTCCTTTAGATAAAATATTATGTTCCAAATTTCCTTTACTTCTTTGTCGAAACTCACTCTTATCTAGTTGAGCAAATGTCAAGTCACTTTAGTATCTGGGCTTTCTCAGGGACAGTTTATGCCAATTAATCACTTTATTCCTTTGAATGAGCCATTTTCCTGTTTCTTTATGTGTCTTGTGAATTTTGTTGTTTTCGTTGTTGTTGAAGATTGGCATTTGATTTTTATAATGTGGTGACTTTGGAAATCAGATTCTCTTCGTTCCTTAGGTTCTCTATGTTGGTGTTTCTGTTTTGATTATTAAAGTCTGCTGTGTTCTATTTGTCTTGAGACAAAGTATTTTTGCAAAGATTATTCCTTGGTGTGTGTATTCACTATTTTGATACCTTAGCTTGCACTCAGCTAATACTTTGACAAATATTTTCTTGAATTTCAGGATCTGAAACAGACAAAAACAAACAAAACCCCAAGCAAGCAAACAAACAAATGGACAGTCACCTTTCTCAGATTTTATAGACTGCCTCTGTGCTAATGTACTTCTTCATGATTTTCTAGGCCTTCCATGAGTCTGGGATTCAGCCAGGGTGAAAGATTAATGGTTTTTAAGGAATTTTGAGCATGTGTCTTTCTGGGGCATGCTAGTAATGTTCTAAATCCCCTTGTATACAGAATTCTTTTTGAATGCCCTAATTTCCCAAAGAGTCTCAATATGTTTCCCCTCTGGGCCTTAGCTGGTATATTGTATGTCTCCACCTAGGATCTCTAGTTCCAGATGTCTGTGGGATTTTTGTCCTCTTGTGGTTTTTATGAGACTTTCCTGTTGCTTTTCCTACCTGTACTCTGAACTATACAAGACAGAGATGAGCAAGTCAGTTCTTCAAGTGCTTCTCTAGTCCAGTTAGGATGAACATACACAATAATTTTCAAGTAAAGTCTGCTCTGCTTCCTCCACTTTGAAGTGGGGAATTGGTAACTAATCTGTCACTGCTGAAAAGCACGCCATCATCTACTATGAAGGGTCTTGGGGATGCAGAATAAAACCATCACTAAACATTTTTACCGTTTTGAAGATGGCTTTTTCTTGATTGAGTATGTACTTAGTTGCTGTAAAACTTTGATCATTTTCCAGAGCTTCTACAAAGTTGGTTCACACTGTTTATGTTTTATTTTACTTTATTTTTTGTGTTTATGTTTGAGGAATAAGAGCTTGGAACTTCTTAGTCTGCCATTTTGCTGACACCACACCACAAGGGTTCCTATTTTTGACAAGTCTAGAAACACTTTACTTATTCCTTTTTTATTTTCAAAGACCTCTAGGAAAGTGTCAATGTTTCCACAGTCAAGTTTAACATTTCATGATCATTTCTTTTTTCTGTCATTACTTGTTGTTCTCAGTTATTACCTAATGCTATTTATACATTGTCATTTACTAAACTTCAACAATTATATAGAAATAATGAATTAATTAATTCATCTTTCTATAAACACAAATATAATGGGGCATTTCATAAAAATAAATATGTATTTTTTTTATTACTTGAGTTCAGGTAGTATAAAATTGGAATTATTTGTGGTTTTGCTATGGTTTGAATGTATCCCCCAAAGTTCATATGTTGGAAACTTAATTTGCAATGCAATAGTGTTGAGAGGTAGGCCTTTTGAGAGGTGATTTCATGAGGCCAGAGCCCTCATGAATGGGTTAATGCTATTATTACAGGTTAGGTTAGTTATTGCAGGAATGTGTTCCTGAGTTCAGCTCCCTTCTCCTCTTTCTCACATGTGCTCTCTTGCCCCTCCCGCTTCTGCCATGAGATCATGCAGCAAGAAGTCACTCATCAAATGCAATCCCCTTGACTTTGGACTTCTCCACCTCCAGAACTGTAAGAAATAAATCTCTGCTTTCTTTACAAATTACCTAGTCTCTGGTATTCTATTATAGCAGCAGAAAATTGACTAAGACATGGTTCTTTCAGAATTCTACTTTCTTCCCCATAACCTGCTATTCTGTTAATGTGATTTTCATTCCAAATTTTCACTAATTACTTTAAACACAATTATTTTGCATTCATTTTTAGGTTATTGTATCGATTTGGGTATGTGAGAATAACAGTTCTCCTATTTGTTGTATCTGCTGGTTCTCTCCATGCTGGCACATTTCCTTATGTGGTGGTTCCTTGAAATCATTGAGCTCATTTTTAGCAGCATTATTTTTTTCTGTAGCTTTACTAGATGCCCTGTATTATGGATTTATTCTATAGATGGTTTTGTCTTTTCTTCTGCTAGAGCTTTTGGGATATGTATCTTGAGATTCCCAAATTTTAAAAATCTCAAATCAGGACTGTAAGGTAACAAATTTGTGTTGTCTACAGTAAGAAAAATAAATAAATAAATTCTAGCTTCAACACCTGAGTGTGGCACAGATTTAATGTTTCTATTTCTCATAGAAAATTTTTCTACACCAGAGCTTTGAAAACATGAAATCTTATTTTCTTCTACTATGGTTTGGTGCAGTGGATATTTTATTTGCCCTTTTTATGAAGTGGGCATGACTTTTAGAAACCTGCTTTTATGCAGGTAATCTCACTTGTAACACTATACTTTTTTTTTTAACTATAAGAAGCTTCCACTTTTTCTCTTTTTTTCTTTTCATTTCTCATGTTTCAATATCTGTTTTGAACAATAGAAAGGCATTTCTCTTGAGAAGTTCATTTTATTTTATTGACTAATTAATTACGTTTTACAAAAGCACAAAATGTGTATATGCTCCAGACATAGTTGAATAATACCAACATAGAACCGTCAATATTCACTTTGTGAGATTTCAGAGACTTTATTCAATGTCAATGCATAAATATAATTTATTTTAAAGATGCATCAGATAAATTTATTATTTAAAATAATATATTTCCCTCCAGACAGATATATTTTAGCTAAATACACAAAGAATGATAATATTTAATATTGTTACTTTGTAACTTCCTTTACTGGCCATACATACATATACATGGGAATGTTTAATAAAGGTTAAGAGGAAAATACTTCTTCATTGAGATTCCTAAACTATTTATCCGTTATTGTCACTTAAAGAGGTAACAATATGCCTCCTAAAATTTCAAACTCTTTTCCATGTGTGAAACTATTTGTGAATTTCATTACAATATTTTTCTACTTATTGTCTTGGGATAACATTTAATATTTATTTTAACCATGTGTGGATGTGTATATATGTGTGTGCTTGTGTGTGTGCATGTGTGTGTGTATGCCTGTCTCTCCCTCTCTGTATCTGTCTCCCTCACTTTATAGATGTAGAGCATAAATGATAAATATTGAACATAAAATTGAAACCTCAATGTCCTACATTAAAGATTTCTCCTTACATGAGGACAGTCAGGTGTTCTTTTTAGCCAATATCATTGTCATAAAGTTAAAGGATGATGGAGAGGTACAGAAGCAGAAGTTTCAGGGGATAGTATCTAAATATATAGGAATTCATCTCATAGAACTTCCAAGTTCTATTAGAATGCTACTTTAATTTCTCCACTTAGTGATTATACCTCTGCATAGCTCAGTGGTAGAAAAGAGTATAATTATACCTGTATAATTTCTGCCTTACTAAATTTAATTAAAATCTCTATTTTGTTGATATTTATGATTACTAAACCCCTAATTGAATGTTGTAGAAAATAACTACAGTTGCTGAGTTTGTGGTTGTTAAGAAGCAGATAACATCAACTAGCTGGATTAAATGACCCATAGTAGGTAATCAATAAGTGTGTGTGTGTGTGTGTGTGTGTGTGTGCCTGCCTGTGTGTGTGTCAAGATTCTTCTTATTCACATTCCCAGTGTAAATGGCTCTTGGGGTAATGGATTCTTTTATAAGTTGAAATTGCCAACACTGAATGGTTGTTAGCTAAAATTTATATACGACTTTTACGAGGAGAGACATTCTCTACTTCTTCTTTTGGTAAGGAGAAATGAATGTGGAGATATGGCAAGTACAGGAAAATGTTTCAGTTTAACTCCAGCGGCCAGAAGGATAGCAGTTTTATATGAACTTGATCTGTTCTAATTAATTTTTTTCTGATTTTGAGTTTTTGTCACACTTGCACATAGCATAGTCACATATTAACAACTTTTATCATAATCAAACTACATACACACACACATACATGCACTCCATTCAAAAGATTGGATGGCATTACAATATAGATTAGCACTTCAATGCTCCACATCACAATCTTTAAAACAGATAATGGTTTGGAACTCTAGCTATTTATTTTCTATTTTACTTCTACCCTGGCCCAAGGAATTTGACAGGCTTTAATTTTTTAATGTGGAAGCCCAGTAGTGAATTTCAGTGGCCATTACCAGAAATATCTCTTCCAATGTGAAAGTAGTGAGTCTCCTGACTACTCGTTGTGAATATACTTTGATGAACATGAGGTATCTTTCGTTTTATTATAGTTTATGGCATCTTTGGCTGAGTTTCAAGCAAAATTTTGCTATTATGCACCAATGGCCAGAAAAGGTTTTATTCTTTACTTTTAGAATAAATATGATTTCACACTGTGAACTTTTTTTTTTTTAATTTTATAGTCTGGACTTTAGAGACTGAGGCTACAGCCTGCGCTGTCCAATATGTGGGATCTAGATGTGTGGATAGTGAAATAGTTTTCTTTCCAAAGAATTCTTTAGATAAACTGTAGCTTTGTAGATTTGGTTCTAGCTGTGAACAATAGCCCAGGTAAGATAATTCAGCCAGTGTGAAAAGCTGAATCGGTCCCACTCTTCCCATTAGGCAATACATGAAACCCACCTGGGGATCTTGGGAAAGTCTGTTCAACACTCCCACTATGCTTCGTTTTGTTTTTCTCCTCCCACTGCCAAACCTCTGTGAACTCCAAAGGACATTCAATCTTTCCAGTTTTCCCACCTGTAATGAAATATACAAGTGTAAAAGCCCCATTAAGAATTTCAATACAATTGCTCTTCTACTCTTACGTTTCAACCTGTTGAGAATCCTGTTAAGCAACCTCGTCAGAGCTCACTCATCATTGAACCACAAATCTGGAAGCAGTTTTAATGCCATTCCATAGATATGCTATTGGATTTTGTCAAATATAAATTATCAAAAGAAACAAGGCACTAATGCGCGTTTGACAATGAATGTCCCTTGGGCTCATTTCAGGCCCACATCTTAATAAGAGAGCCCTTTGCAGCAATGTGTACGCGGCTGGTCTCAGTCCATCCTTTTCTTAACTGAGCAGTGCTTGAGCACTCTTCCGTGGACAATGACACACAGTTACTGGAGTTTAATTCTAACTTCATTGCGTTTTATATTTTTAAGCAAATTTGGGAATCAGAAATACAAACTGAGAGGCCAGGTTTATGTTCATACAGACTTTTTAAAAAATGTAAGGTATCCAGAATGGTTTTATAGGAATCATTAACTTTTTAAAAGCCACCAGTTTCCTTCTGTCATTAATGATATGCATAAGAGCTTAATGTAATGCTACTTTTAATTATCACAGCCCTTTCTTTTAAATATCAAATTTCCCTCTCTAAACTGTCCTGCCTTCTCTTTAGAGTCTCATCTGTCACTGTAAATGCCATCACTTTATTCCTCCTATAGATGCACTGACAGGCCCACTCTTATCCCAAGCTTTATCTCTTTTTCCATCCTTTATTGTACTACAAAGATCCCTTTTTCATAGTTTACAGCTGTATCCGCTTTCCACACGTGGCAAATGATTGCCTCGGTAAAGGTATTTTCTGTTTCAATCTTGCATTTTCCCAAGGGAGAACAAAAGGGACAAGCTTTCTGGAGTTGGTTTCACTGAGAAAATTGTTTAGAATTGCCTCATTCCTCAGCAGATTAACGAATGCATACAATCCCAGCTTAAGTGCTATTGTACTACACAATTTGTCCATTATACTTTGTCCTTTCCATTTAGAAAACCCCTCACCAATTAAAGTAATACAGCCTTCCAATACCTGCTCCCAATTAAATCTGAGCTGTATTACCTGCCCCGATGCAGCTGGTCACAGATTCTTACCACTTACCCACATTCATTAGGCTTGTTCATTATCAAGGGGATGGTGGCAGGAATTCAAGCCACTGCCTTCCTTTTAGGGCTCACCAAAATTATCAGCTTTCCACCCAAGGCCCCAATAAGGACAGGATTAAGTATAAGGAGAAGGAATTCATACAGTAGCAACTCTCATTGTTTCTTCTTTCCTCATATCCTTTCTACCTCAACACATCAAAAGGATACAGTGCAGGTACAAAAGAACACTCGTCTTAATGAAAGGATCACTTTTCTCTCGGTTTCGGGCCCAAAGCGTACCCCCCAGCTTTGTTCTTCTGTCTTAACTACCCTCCCCCTCCAAGCTCTTTCTGCAAGACCACAGTGAGAACCATAAAGAAAGGCTCTGAAAGTGACCAAGAAGCCCACTTACTGCGAGCTTTGTCATTGAAGAGCAAGGCTTTCCAGCTTCAGGCTGGACTGGATTTTGGGGAAGTGTTATTTTTCTATCCAAGGCTTAAGGCATCTCTAAGAAAGGAGGGGGTTGCGGAGGAATGGAAAGTATGGGGAACTGTGATTTAATTACTACTGGGCATGACTGTGTGAGTGGGTTCTCCCAGATAAATTTTAATCTAAATCCAATGAACAAAAATATACGACCGGCTTTCTTTACTTTCATTTTGAAGTGGGACATACACGCAGTTAATTCTTTGGTGATTCTGGTGGGTCTCTGTCGTGATTATTGATCAGAAAAGAAAAATAAAAAACAAAACAAAGTTGGCGGGGAGGCATTCCACAGAAGGGAAAAGGTCACAGACTAAAGAGGAGAGGTGTATTTATCGCACTAGAGAGAAAATTCAGGAGAGAAGAAAATACAAGTTAGCTGCCAGGGTCAGGAAATGCAAAATTCAGGTAAAAAGGACTATTGATAAAATTAAAAAGTCATGAATTTCTGAACAAGAAGTGCTGCTTCAGCCCTGAGGAGACCAAGCCTGAGAGCTTACCCAGGCACTGGTGGTTCTCGGGGGAAAAGAGAAGTTCAGTGGAGGCTCAAGTGTGCTTTTATAGGAGAGTACAGAGCAAATTCCACCTATCTTCTCTGGAGAGAAGACACTGAGATCCTGCACCAAAGTGTCCCTTTTAAGATATTTGATTATGAAATTAAATTAATATATATCCTCTTCCGAATTCCTGAATCATCAACTATCCTTTAGTCAGTAACATTTTTAAAGGAACTTCAGTGATCTCGTACCTCTACCGAGCAGGCACTGTGATGAAGAAATCCTGATCCTGGAGAAACTACCAGCATTCTCAAAGGCGCAGATATATGGTGGGTGGATAATCAGTGAAAATCCATTCTAAGCAACTTTACTATAAGTCTTTATTGTATACATACAAATCTTATCAATGAACAGCACCATATGCATATCTGTAGCTTTTTTTTTTCTTAAGGGGGGGAGGTTGTATATTAGTGTTTTCCTCTCAATTAACTTCTAGGCAATTTTCCCAGCTAAATGCATAACATCTTTGGCAAGATGCCAAACAAAACCTTAAGACCCAACACTAAATTCTGCACTTATACAGGCAGCTTAGATTTTCATGCGGTGAACTGGAAGCTTGCCAGCAACTCCCACTATAAACTCAGCAGTGGGAAAGCTATATAAATTTTTTTTATCAAGAAAATCTACTTTAGATTTCCAAGACCACTTGAAAATTGCACTATTTTAATGTGCCTTTTAGACAAAATAAAAGAAAGATTTAACCTGCTATTAAATTAACCCAATTAGCTATTTATTCCATGTAACCTTACACTTTGGATGATGTTAAATCAAATAAACTGGCAGGGAATGATTTTTTGTAGTGAATTATGGAAATTACAAGATGCATTCTAAACAATAAGTTCTTATGTCTTTTTCTTTATCCTTTTCACTCTGACAAGATTATCAGAATACTTACTTTAAAAAAAAAATTGCTTTTTTGTATAGGAAACGGAATTACCCAGGATATAATACAGCTGAAGGGCCTGGGGAGAAGTGGCTGGAAAATTAGAATGTAAAGGAATGCTCATCAAATAGAAATTTACACAACAGTCATTCCTTGGAAGGCTTGCCATCCATCCCTCAAACTTTGCTTTTTGGTGTGCTTTTACTTGTACATTCCATTCAACACATGTGTTCTTCCAATAATGTCGTACTTTTCAAAGCACTAACTGCTGTCGGGCTGCTTTGGTCCCCAGTCAAGCTTTGTTGATGTTAAATTTAGAACCAAACTCTAAGAATTTGAGTTCATGTCCACTGGGATCTACCAGTTGAGGTAAAAAACACTTTCGAGAACTTGTGTAGTGTCCGATAAATTCTTTTAACACTAAAAAGCTTTTGGAAAACAACATTTTGACGATTTAAGAGGCAGTGAACCAGAAACATATGGATTAAGTTTCCTCTGTAATACTCAGGGGCCTAAAAATTAAGAGGGAAACGCTTGGCCAAACGAATTTTGCCCAACCAAAAAAATTCACAAACCAGGCCAAGATACTTTGCCAAGCCTAAATTACTGATGAGCTCTCTTTCCGTAATATTAGCTATTATTATTACTACGTTTTATTTTTGTTTGATAATTCTGGAGTTTTAAAAACATCTGGAATGGTTTCGGAGAACAGCAGTTCACATCAAAGTGATTTTGCAATTTCAAAAACAAATCATAAATCATAACCTAAGAACATTGTGAATTTGTCTACATAAGTTCACGAGCCAGGATAGTTTGGCCAGGAAGCGGCCCACAGTTGTACCCATGGTAAGGGTGCTTAAGTTCAGCAGGTTAGGCCTTGAAAAGACAGGGAGACTCAGAGGATGTGGAGGAAGGAAAAGTTAGTACTTGTGTCATGGCCTCAGGCACCAGTTTCCACCAGACAGACATGAGACAGACAGAAGGCACCACTGGAGAGCTTCCTATAAAAATATGCAGAGAGATGACTCCTTAGGACACCTCAGTAAAACACAAGATATGGATCCCAAAAGAATTGTTAATGTTTTCCTTTTGATTTTCAAGAACTTCCAAGAACAGACATAGCAGCTACTTCTGCCTATTGGCCCTCTGTAAGTTTTAGCAACAGCACAGAACTCTCATCACACTAAATAACAAACATCACCAAAATAGCAGGACAGAATACAAGGGTGAAACGAACTATCTCAACCATCTTTTCCACTGACTTTTCCTATGTTTGTCATCTCTTCCCTCAAATTGTGGCCGGAAGAAAGCAGGTTCTGTGCTATGTATACGCAGAGCCTGCATTTGAAGAAACAGAAGGAGCCCAGACTAGGAAGCTAAGGACACAAGGTGCAAAATATAAATAAAAGAGAAAGAAAGAAAGAAATACAATGATAAAATGAAAGAAGAAACAAAAGAAACAAACCCCCAAAAATGAAACGAATGAAGGAAAGCAGAAAGAAAGCGGGGAAGAGAAGGGAGGAAGGAAAGAAGGGAAGGAAAGAGGAAGGAAGGAAGGAAGGGAAAGTAAAAGGAAGGAAGGAGGGAAGGTAGACAGACTCTCAGCACACATATAATATTAAGGGAAAGGAGATTATAGCCAATTTGATGAACACTTGCTATAGATTTTGTTGCATATATAATTTATATTCCTTTGGTTTATTTCAGGATTTAATTACCCTTTTTTTCCAGCAAGTCGATTGTGATTGCATGTGGTATTACGGTGGTAGAGGTGGTGGTAATTGTGGTAATGGGATAGATCAGCATTGAGAAACTTTAAAACTGTCTCTAGGATAGAAGTAAGAGTTTGATGTAAACAAACAAACAAAAATCCTTTTTAAATATTTTGGAAGAGCGATAAAAGTCATTTGACATTTAAAGACACTGCAGCAGCAGTTAGTGGACTATGGAGAACTGATATTTATGAAAAAAATGTATCCATACTGCTGAAACGTCACATAATCCCTGCAAAACTCTGAACAAAGTTATAAAATTAACTGCTCTATATGGTCTATTTTACGTAAAAGGCCATTGTGTCCACAGAATGCAATGGCTGTGCCAAAAGAAATATTCTTACACTACTGAAAGTATGTTAAATTAATTTTTTTGAAACTCCTAGGAAAGTCCAAGATAGGTGATTTTATTGGTGGAGGTATTTCTTAAATATGTATTAATGAGTCAACAGGCATTTGGGAAATAGCTTAACATATCATTTTTTTTTCTGTCTTCTAACTAGAAAAATATTTTTTTTCTCCCATAAGGGCAGTCTAGAAGATTGGGCATGATTCATACTGCATCTTATTACACCCCTGAATTTGTGTCTATTTATGAAAAAATTAGCATAATTTGACTTAAAACTTCTATTACTTTGTAAAAGAGTTATTTCACATATTTCTCACCACAAGCAGCAGCAGGCTCTTAGGAAGAATTTTCTGCTGTGAAGGAGTGTTCTATGCTTATATTTATACATAACTACATTCTAACTCGTACAATCCAAAATTGCAGGGAGATAGGCTAGAAAAAGAATCTGCATTCACTCAAGATTCTTTGTAAAAAATTTCAAAATATCATTGTATTAAAATATTTGAAAAGGTACTCTGTTTTACATGCACTTGCTTTGATTTAGAATGCATTTTTGAAAACCCACCTCAAGCTTCTCTGGGCACTCTAGCAGGGCCTGCTTGCCTGCTGACAGACGGGCCGTCCTTAGGAACCCAATGTGCCAATTTGCACCTAGCACGGCGTGTGCATTAAAGTTACACGTGGCAGAGCTCTGCAGTATGCACGTCTTTGTTCGGCATGTGAATTGTTAGAAATCGGGGATTATCTTTATTAGGATAAAGGCTGATGCCGTACAAGACCCAAACAAATAAAAACATAAATAAAACCCGGAAGCTTTTCAAGTCTAGATTTAGTGTCAGAATCCCAGGTAGGGAGGCAATGTCAGAAAGCCTAATTCAGGATTTCTGATAAAGGTAAATGAAAGGTGACAGGTAGTTCCAAAATCCAGCCACAATCAGCAACTAGAGAGGAGGAGTTACCTAAACTTGAATCAGAATCCAAAATCAGGGTCAAGAGGCACAAGAAGGAGTAAGCCAGGAAGTCCACACCAGCTGGGACTTGGGGACAGTAGACAGCTGATGATGGGCCCAGGGTTTCTTGGTGTTTTTAGAGAGAGTGAGTGAAAATGAAGTGAGGGCTCCGGATAAAAGGCAGCCTGGAAACCAGGGGTGGGGGTGGGGTCAGCAGGTTACGGCCCCCTCATCAGTCAAGGTACACACCTGGCGTCCAGGCCTGGCAGGCTTCTGCTGAAGAGGGAGTGACTTCCCACGCTGACAGGAGTAGCAAATTATATAGATCTAGAGATAGAGACCTATTTATGCAGGTTGTTTATTCAGAAACTAGTCATTATTAAAAGGCTACTAACTACAGGAAAAATATCACTCCCCTGGGGTCAGTTTATTTCTGTCCAACTCTGATTTCTGAAAAATGAAGATTTCTTTGAACTGGAAAGACAAGATATTGTAAAATATGCATCATTTCAAGACCTCGTTCTTCTGTCTTTGCACTGATCTTTCTGCTGTTTTTATTGATTCATGGATCAGTGTCCAAACATAATTTTACCTTTTTCAACAGAGTTCAAAGCAGGGGAGATGCTATCTCATCAGTTTTCATAATTTCCATATGATTCACCAGCTGGCTCTCCCCTGTGTCTGGGGCTTCGTTTCCCACTATACCTCTCCACTTACCACATACACCAGCCACACCTGTAACTCCTTCTGAAAGCCACAGGGTATTTCTCTGTTTCTCCACCTGCTCATGCTATTCTCTCAGCCTAGACAGTTTTCTCTCTCTTCATTTATGCAGTCAACATTTATGGAACCCCAGCTATGTGTTTAATCTGTGCTTGGAAGTGATGAAATGACGCAGTAACCTCTGGAGCTTCCTGTTACTAAAGGCACCAAACTTGTCCACCAAGACTCAGCTCTACCTTCCTATAAAAAACCCACTCTTCTTCCCAATTTTGAATTTATCACACCTTTTTATGTGTCACCATAGGGATATATATATATATAGATAGATAGATAGATAGATAGATAGATAGATCTCACCAGAGTTTGATTGTATATTTTAATTAATTGTATTTTATATGTTAATTAATTATATGTATGTCTCCCCAGTAGAAGGATAAGCTATATGCTCATTATGTATTCTTCAGTACTATCTTGGCACAGATACAATATTTTATGCATTGATATTATTAATTTGTTCTTTGGTTAAATGAAAGGTTATGGACTGAGGGATGGATGGATGGATGGATGCATGGATGGATGGATGGATGGACTGACTAATGAATGGATGGATGAATGAATGACTATTTGGATATGTGCAGTTGAATATTAAGCCCTTTTTTGTTTCTTGAATCCACAGTACATTGCCCATGACTGTTCAAGACAATAATTCTGCATTGCCTTCCTGCCTCAACCTGGAATCAATGACTTTTTAATCTAAACTGTATTTCCCTTTCAATTAACAAATAGGATAATTTTGTTTTGTCATAGAACTACTCACTGTAAACACAATTGTCTGTGTGCATAATAGTTTTCTGTTACTACACTAAACTTTTATATGCAGTAATGATGTATATTTGTCAATTCAACAATAGAGTATTAGTTTAATATTCAAAAAACATATAAGTGCCATAAGAGGGTCTGCATTTTAGTATGACATATTTTTATGTCTAAAAGAAAAGTATTTATATGGAAAAAATTAAGCATTTACGTGGAAGAACAGATGATTATTAATTTATATTTGTAAAAAAAGTTTCTAATTTACTTTCATTATATAAAATTATTCAATCTGAATTATCAATTTATGTATCAACTTTCTTACAGAGATATTTTCAAAATGAGTACATACTATCTTTATACATTTAAAATTCATACATAGTTGATATTCATATTTTAGTAGATTCTATGTAGAAAATGAAAGTTTGCTCTATCATGTTTTGACAATTTAAAAAATTCATTTCTCCATCCAAAAAATCCTTGATACAGTAGACTGATTCTGGCACAGGTATCGTAATTCAGAAATGTGTAAAAAAATGCTCAGAGAAAGGCATATCTAATATCGCGGTCCTAACACATTTGATATAGATATAGTATCGCCGAGCTCATTATAGCAGACCCTATACTATAATTATATTACACACATTTTAAATTATCATTATAATTTAAGTCTGCAATTTTGTTTGGGGCTTAGATTTTCCATATTTGTTCTCACATGTGAATCATTTAAATTGTTGAAGTAGAATCTGTTTAGCTGTTTTGAATTATATGAATGAAAGAAAAAATACTTTCTCTTCAAAGCAAATTAAGATATTTGGGGACTCAAGTGAGACTGTCTGAATTTATAAGCTTTAAAATTTTGGAGTAAATATGAATTTAAAAATATTTTCTAATTTCCCTTGAACACAACTTAAAAATACAAATAAATTAAATATTTGACATAAATCTGATGAAATTATCAGTTTATTCAGTGATCTTAATTTTACTGTACCAGGAATATTGAAGATAAAATTAACATCATAAATTATGAGATTTGTCCAGTTACATTATTTTGGTGTATGCAAGTACAAGATGTTTATTTTTAACATTTGGTCATGACATTCAGAGGTACAAATTAAATAATGTCCTATTATTGTTCCAACTATGTCTCAAGTATAATTATATAAACATGCAAAAGTCCGAATTTACTAAACATTAATTTACCCTGAGAAGATGCAATATTTGTTCCTGGTAGTTGGGGATTTTAATTGGAGACCTGGATACCATTAGCTCTTTATGTCATGCTTTTATATATTTATACTTTGTAAGGAAACTTGGCAAAAATTTCAAACAAACATAGAAAAGACTTAGGCTAAGGTTTCAAGAAATGGAGACTTCTATCTTTCTTCCTAAAAAATTACTTAAAATATCAGCTTTCAGATATTAAAAATATCACTAAGTCTACATGTATACACCCCTTACTTTATGTTTTTAATTTCATAATTTGGTAATTTTCATTGTATTGTTGTTTCCCTTAAACGTTTGCCTTTGGAAGTCAGCAGGGAGACATCACGATCCCTTTGAACTTTTACTTTTGATGATATAAGTATTTCAGATTATAATAGAACTCCACATGCTAAATTTTGCTCTCCTGACATTTTTAAAACAACAGCAACGACAAAAGGTACTCGATGTAAATCCCTGAGGACTCACAGTAGCAGCCGAGTCTTACAGGTTCCCTTGGTCTTCAACACTCTCTTGTCTGACCTAGACCGAGTCTAGCAGAGGTGGTTATAAATAACTCCTCAAACACTGGCCGGAGGCTCCAGTATGAACTGGGGCTGCAGCTGCCGTGCACACTCGAGAGAGGGCAGACAGAAGAAAGCAAGACCAGAGATGACTACAGACACAAAATCTTAACAATTGGCATCCTGTAGTCACTACTTGAGCTTTTCCTCTTTATTTTTCGAGAAATTTTATTAAAATGTCTAGTAGACAACAGGACACATTTCTATTTTGCAAGCGCTCTAAACAGCAAGAGGCCCACAGAATGTTCATTATTGGAATGAGGAAGAAAGTGCTGTCTGTCCTGCCAGCACCAACATTAATGCCCATTCAAAAGTCTTTTAACCCAAATGGAAGTGGATTTAGCAGGCACTTTAGGCCAACATTATTTGGAAGGATTTTACACATTGTAAGTCATAATATATACTAAAAAAGAACCTGTGAAACTGTTAACTTGGATTTAAAACGAGGATTCTGAAGGTAGATTAGTATTAGCCAAGTTGTACCAAGAGTAAGTTTCTCTAACAGCATGTAGTATTGCATGACAACCCCACATAGAAATCAAATTGCCTTTGAAAATCTTAGCTCACTTACTTTATTTTAACACATATTTTGGTATTATTAAGGGAAAGTAAAGTTGCCTTTTTCCCCTTTACTTGTCAATGCTGCGTTTCAACTATAGAACGTTCTAATTCCTCCTGAGACTGCTATTTAAATGAAATTGATGGTGCAATTTTTTATCAAATAAAGCCTACTTTAAAATTATTGTTAACTCCCAATTTGCTATACAGATTTTTTTATTGCCATGTACTAGGCTTCAAAATTTATCCCTCAAATTTCCACTTTAACTTAAGTATATGTAATGTCAATTTTATGTTTTTGACTTGGGACTGTGGTATTTATGGCCAATATCACCAATGTTCCAATTGCTATTTAAGCATTAAGAGGTACGTCAGCAGAAATTTTAATTGTCTTACGTTTTAATTTTAATTTTATAATCCTTTCATGCTTTCTTATAAGCCATCTTTCCCTTTTGAGCCAGGAGATGAAACATTTTTAATTTGGTTCATCGTTTCAGCCCGTTTTCTTGATGTTTCAAGCATTATTTAGTGTCTGTGTATAGGATGTGATCGTTGCCACTTAGATTTTCTCAATGAAAACTTTTTGCCTGCATAATGAATGGCTAGTTATAACAAAATATTAGTTGTAGTCAATAAGGGAGAAAAATCAGCAAATTTAACATGTGGATGTCATTTACAGATTAAAGTCATCCGTGATTTAAAACAAAAACCTGTAATCTAATTTTTTTTTCCTAGTAATTGGTAAGGCAGAGTGATCTAGTACAGCACCATCCAATAGAAGTTTCTATGATTATGCAAATATTTTATGTCTGTCATGTCCAATATGGTAGCCACTAGCCACATGACATTTGGCTTGTGACAGAGAAACTTCGTTTTTAATTTTCTTTAATTTTAATTGCTCTATAGTTATATTTAAATACCAACTGGTCTAGAGCCAGAACATGGGCATTTGAGACTTGATTCCATCTCTTACTGTGTGGTTTGGGATGTTACACTCCCTGGGCCTCAGTCTTTGTATCTGTGAAATACAGGTAATAGTGCCCACCTTGTAGGTTGTTATGAAGATTTAACAAGATACCAGACCTTAAACCAGTGCCTGGCATATGTTGAATAATGAATAAATGTTAGCCATTGCTATCACATAGGTTTGTATTTCTACAGCAGTCAACCCAGCTTAGCTTTTATTTTCTTAGGTTAGCAACCAAAATAAATGAAGTATAATTGTAACTATGTCAACAAATAGGTTAAATTCAACTTTTACTTGTAGTGTAAGTGTGAAGTTCTGGAACTTTCTCTAACAAATGGGTACAAGTGACAGGCCAGTCAACCTTTTCTTAGGTGGAAGCACAGTGATTTTAAGAGATTGTGTAGTCTGCTCTAAAAATACTATTTTTGAATGAAGTTGAATAAGTCTGAACATCTGCAGGTGAAAATAAAGCTATAAAACATTAAAAAATTTGATTTGTATATACTGCATAAAATATGCTGTTTTCACATTAGTTGTATAACCAATGGTGCTAAGGACATTCAAATTAAGAAAGATATAGCGTTTAGACTAATTTATGTGTTTTTACTATTGGAAACTTAAATGCTTATATTCACAAATCTATAATTCATATGAAACTTTTCTTCTTCTCATCGATAGGGATGAGCTTTTCTAACTAGCATCTCCCATAGTCAAAATTAAGATTAGGGTTTTAGCAGATAAAACACTAGAATAGAGGTGCCCCCTGAGATTAAACAAGCATGGGGGCAGAAGGAAACTTCACAGAACCATACAAGTTATTTTCTTTCTTATATTGTCTTATGTTTGAGTGTTATGATGTTAAATTATTTCAAAGTAGAATATGTGAAATAAGAAATCACAGAAAATGAATGCTTCATGGAAAGGCTGATCTGGAGTTGAGACAAGAATATTTTGAAGCATGAAAGCAAGAATCTGTTCTTGGTGTGTTCAAAATGGAACAGGCTTCAGCCTGCTAGGTGTTGCCTCAGTCAGGCTGGTCTATTACAAAATGCTTTGAGAACTATGTTGAAAGTGGGTTGTGTGAATTCACCCCCTTCCAAAATGATTTTTTTTTTCATGTTGAATTGAGGCTGCTTGAAAATGAATATCAAAAAGCAGTGTCAAGGAAGGCAAATATCAGCTGCTGTCATCAACAAATATTTGCTGAATTCTACGTATTAGTTATGTACAGTGTTACAGGGCTTTCAAAGCAGGTGGATGATGAGACGTTATTTACATTTAAAGCTGATGTTCTTAAACTTGATTAATGAAAGCTTGGGCATCATGTCCAGGCAGCCCTGAAATTATATGCACACCTTGGTGTGTGAATGTTCTGTACTTTGATGTGGGAGGTGGACCAAGGGTAGTATAAGTTGTGAGAGTATCAACATTTTTTGGTTTGATCCTTAAAGTATTTCATGACTGCCAAAATGTTAACTGTTAATTTCCTTGGATCACATCTAAATGGTAGCTGAGAAAAGCCCAAATGCTAGCCTTCTTTTCATTGTGATGCTATTATGCTAAATAGTTCTAGACGTGGGGCTTCTTATGCAGTTCAGTGTGACTGGTGATTACTAATCTGGCTTAAGCCCTGTGTAATCAGTGGTATCCTGACTGCATCTGAGGGCCTGATCAGTCTCTTTCAGATAATCAAAGGGACACTAGTTTTTTCCTGAAGTCCATTACCATGAGTTAGAGGGCTCTCTATATCAGTGGTTCCCCCCACTTTTTCTCGTACTCACACAACCTAAAAAATTTGGACAAACTATGTGCCGTCTAGCATATAATACATAAGCATACAAAATATTTTCTCTTAAATTTAAATATTTTTAAAGAGTGTAACTTCTGGCATGTTGTAAATATTGACATTTAAAAATAAAACTGCTGTACCACTCCTTAAAATATATCCAATGAAATCTAAATACCATTGAGATTTGATTTTTACCAACATCCATTTAAAAAAAATATGCACAGAATGTTCTTTAACAGTCAGGAATTTTATATTGTTCCTTTTCCTCCTTGAACCCAATTTTCATTCCACTTCCCCCAAAGAAGTTGATTCTGGGATAATATATTTTTATGCTTAGAAGTCTTTTATTGATAATCAAATCTTGCTTCTTGCAATAAAAAAGTATGTAAATAAAAATTCTAAAAATAATATTTTATGACCATAATGATTTATGTTTTTCTGGATGGAGTTATCATTATAACTATATTTAGCACACAGTTGATGAAAACAATATAAACATATGATCAGATTAATAGCAAAAGCAGGGAGCCTTGTGATGAGCTAGGAATGGGGTGGTTTCCCCATAGTGTTTCCTTCAGGTGCTCTATTTGCTTGGCTTTTGTAAGACCCTCCCCTTGAAGTGATACACTCTTTGACAGTAGGGCAGTTAAGAAAGAAGCAACAAACTTTTAAAGTTACCATCACTCTTCACTCTATTAGATGTCTGAATTCAGAGCATCTGATTTTATAGGCTAAAATATCTATTTCTAATATCATAGTCTGTCCTTAGAAGAAAACTGTACTGGAGAAAAATAATACCAAGAAGTGTACACCTACAACATTTTGAAGGTTCCCTTTGTTCCAGACCTCAGCATAATGTGCATAGTGCAATGATGGATGGGCAGTCAGTATGCTTCATTTTGTAAAGTGTGGGAAGATTAGTTGTGATGAGAACATGTCATTCTGAAGGAAAATAATGGGCAGATGAGAGAAATTTTTCATTTGAGGAAGGCCTTTAGAGTCTCAGTAGTTCTAAAACCCATGGAGATATACTCATAAAACTGAATTCCACTGAATTACATCTCCCTGTGTCCGGATCCCTTTTGCCATATGATGTGTTCCTTCTTTGTTCTATGACTGTCTTTTCCACTTGTGTGAAAAATGGAAAGTCATGAAACTGACGATGTGTAAGTTCTGGTGTCCAGGCTTTAAGAGGCCCTGCAGCTTCTGCTTGGACACTCTTGGGAATCTCAATTGACCATGCTGTGTAGAAGCCCAGTGCGGTCTCCTGGATGATGAACAGCCAAGTGGAGAAGAACCTAAGCACCTTAGCCAGCAGAGCTGCCAGCCACGCTGGAACATTCAGCTCTGCAGCTGCATTGAGGGAAACCAGTAAAGGCAATAACGAGATCGCCCACCCACAGAATCTGGAGGACTTAGAACTCTGTTGTCTTAAGTCTCTAAGATTTGGGGTGGTTTGCTCTGCAGTGACATATAACTGATACATCCATTAACTTGAAAGATGTCCTCCAAAATGTTTATTACACTTATTCATTAATAGTCCCTCTCAATGAAATAAAGTTGTTATGTAAAATAGTTACATAACATAACCAATAGTTATGTAAAAGAACTTAGTTTTTAAAAGATCTTCCTAATATAAATTAATATAAATATCTAAAGCTAGATGTGAACACATGAAAACACATATACACATCCACAAACACACAAACTCTTATGGAATCAATTACATCAATTAGATTCCATTCAAAGTATTATAGTCAGGTAGGACTTTTATGAGTATAAAGAACAGAATCTGGCTCATAATATGTTCACAAGAATAATATAGGGAATAATCAAATGAATTATTTCATTGTGTGAATAATATCGACCACTTCTAACAAAAATGACATTGATTCGGGAATTTGGGACACAACCACAACATCTGTAATAAAGCTTGATTTTCCATCATACACAGGCAACATCATAAAGTATTTCTTTTAGACTAAACCACAATTCTTGCAGAGGTCTAAAAGGTTTTATGTAACGCATTAAAAAGCCAAAATAAAAACCAAATGATTTTGGGAGAACGACAAGCTTATTTGCAAACACAAAGTTAAAGTTCTTCTATTCACTTTATGTCTAAATCAATTTTCAATTGCTTTAAATTTCAGTATTTTTTTCCTTGTGGACACTCTGAAACTAAGAGGATAAATCCCCTAAATACCCTCATTATGCTTGACATGCACAGTGCATGTGGTAGAAGAGAGCTGAGAACTATACTTGTCTCCTACAAGACAAAAAGTATGGAGAACTTACAAGGTGAAAATTAATGAAGTCAAAGAGCACTAGAAGAATAAAACACCTTGGGAGTAAGTCTTTGAGTGCACACACGCTCTTCACAGGCAAATGAAGGACGTGGGGCACAGAGAGGCAAGATGGTAATTAAAGAGTGGGTGGCAAACCGTATGAGATCTCTTAATTTCCCTCCAAATTAACTTTTGTCTACAGGCATACAATTCCTTAGTGGAAACCCCTGGAACCACACATTTTCAGAGTGGAGTGGAGTATTATTAGCTGCACATCTAGACTTCATAGCATCCTCAGTCAGATCTGGGACATTTCCCCATAAACAAGTATCTTAACATTTCTACAGTGAAAGGTATGGCTATTTATACTAAATTGGCTAAATGAAAATTAAAATGCTCTTTTTTCAGTTCAGGTTGGGTTCTACTACATAATGAGTTTGTTGCCAAATTTACAGAGACAATAAATAAAACAAACAAACACTTCTTTTGGAGTTTGGAATTCCAAGCACAGGACTCAGGATCCTATTAATACCTATGTCTAATTCAGAACTTTCTTTTTTATCCCTGTTCATGTTTTGACTTTTTTATCGCACCCTGTTTCTGGATTGTAGTACAATATACAGTGAGGTTTTTATTTTTTTAACCTTGTTTAGTCTTTGTCCTTTTCTTGTATCTCTTTTTTTTCCTTCATATTCTATATCGATGGTCATAAACAGTGGCTTAAATGCTTTTCTGTCTCAGTTAATGTAGGCAAATTATTCTATTGGGAAGATGAGTGAGTCATTATTTACAGATGCCCTAGAAATCAGCCTTTACACATAAAGTGAGGACTGTATACTGATAGATCCAGACATACTTCTGACCAGCAAAGTGTCAGATGCAGGAGGCAAGTTAGAAGCATCAACATCAGGATCAAAATCTGTCAAAAGTACTCAAAGATTAAATAACACCCAGATTTAACATGACTCAGGGATCATATAAGTACAGGAAGCCCCTACTTGTCCCATGTAATGGAAATTTAATTTTTTAAAAAAATAGGAATACTAAGGATCAGCCATGCCAATGTGTGACAATATGGTGCACAGATGGACATTTTAGGTGACACCAGAATTGAAATAAGGGCCTATTAAAAGGAAGAACACTAAATACTCCTTTAACAGTTAAGATTTTTTAAAGTTCTTGGTGAATTATTTAAATGTTTCTTGAAGAAGATTTAAATTTTTTGTTTTAAAATTGATTATAAAAATAGTCAACATTTAAAAATAAAGTATTCCTTTCTAAAATTCCCATCACATTAACACTCATTTGATTGCCACTGGTTTCTAAGGGAGATATTAGGCATTAGCCGACCTGTCGTATTCTCTATCTCCAGGCACATGGCAGGTTACAATCCTCTACTTCTTGGAAGTGGAATGTAGTAGTCATGCAACTAGTTTTGGCCAATGATATGTAATGTAAATGTCATAGGTGACTTCTGGATGAGACATTTGAAAGGCAAAGCATAGTTCCCTGTTCTCACTTCCACTGCCTCAGCAGATTTCTGTTTTGAAATGTCAATATCATCACATGGTAAGTCTCCATCAGTTTGGGTCCCTGAGTGACCTGATGGAGCAGAACACTTTTCTTCTTTCCTCTCTAACACCAATCCATGTTAGACCTCAAGCATGACTGAAAAATTAGCTTGTTGCTTCAAGCTATTGAGGTTTCTCAGATTATGAATTATGGGAGCATAATTCTGGCCATCTGGAATAATTCTGGCCATCTGGAATGATATGTTCTCTATTAAATGGCTGGTTATCTGTACATCATTCTGAATCTGGATTTTGTATAGCAACTTTCAAAGTCTTTTGAATTCATATTCTAAATGCCAGAGCTGAATAGATTGCTTTGCTCAGTTTGGTGAAAACATCATATATCCCCCTTAAATGGTCTAGTAAAGCACAGCTCAACATTTGTCCTATTATTTTAGGACTATGGGATATGGCCATACTTACATATTAATGTTCTATTCATAGAATCACAAATATTGAGGGTTTGTGGCATAAAACCCTCCAAGTTTTTCTGTCACATATAAGAAATTGGTTGTAGTGGTTAATGGAGAGTTGTAGTGATCTGTTCAATGTAAAGGGAGATTCTGGAAAGGCATGACAGGTGAAGTATTATAAAAGAAAATCAACTGTTCTGCACCAATTTAGAAGAAAGTATATTGATATTGTGGAGGAACAAAATCAGCATATCTGAAGTCCAAAAATAGCCCAAATCCCCACATTAAATTCTATGAATCTCAGTTTAATCTATATATGATAAAATATTCAGGAGCTTAAAGGAATTAAATATTTTAGTAAGAACTAGATATTTTAGCAAAAGTCTTTCACAGTCTCTTTTTTTTCTCTTACATGAACTTAACACTGGGTCCAAAACAGAAACGCCCAGTTGTCGGGGGGAGGTGGGCCCAGTGTCTTCTCAGCACACCTGTGAACTATAGGTCTTGTTTCTACAATAATCCTCAATCCTGGAACTTCATGGTCCCCAATCATTCTTTTTATTCATTAATCTTTTGAAATCACAGTCAGGTATTATACATTGGCTGGAGAGAGAAAAAAATGGAATATTGGAAACTAAAAATAGAACTACCATATGATCCAGCAATCCCATTTCAGAGTATATATCCAAAGGAATTGAAATTAGTATGTTGAAGAGATATCTGCACTCCCAAGTTCATTTCAGCACTATTCACAATAGCCAAGATAGGTAAGCAACCTATCTTGCTTTGTTCATCAGTGGATGAATAGATAGAGAAAACATGGTGTGTGTGCGTGTGCATATACACACACTCAAAATGGAGTACTATACAAACTTTAAAAAGAAGGAAATTCTGTCATTCATTACAGTGTGGATGGAACTGGAGGACGTTATGCTAAATGAAATAAGCCAGGCACAAAAAGACAAAGACCATATGATCTCACCTATATGTAGCATCTTAAAAAAGTCAATCTCATAGAAACAGAGAGTGGAAAGGTGATGGTTACTAGAGGCTGGGCGGGGGTGGGAAGGAAGGAAAAGGATAAGAAAAGGGTACAACATTTCAGTTAAATAGAAAGAATAAGTTTTAGTAATCTACTGCACTGCATGGTGACCATAATTAATAATGTATTGTATATTTCAAAATTGCTAGAACAGATTCTTAACATTTTCATCACAAAAATATAAGTTGGTGATAGATATGTTAATTACCTTGATCAACTCTTTCTACGATGTATGCATAGATCAAAACATCCCATTGTACCTCATAAATATACATAATGGTTTTATTTCAATTAAAAGTTGAAAATTACATAAAAAGAAAAAAGGGATATTGGCAAATACAATAAAGTTGCCTCGGGGCATCAGTGGTATGTGCTTGTGAACACACACGTGTGTGTAGCTGGATTCGCAGATTTTTTAATTGCTTTCAACTTAATTCAGTTTTTTCAAAATTTGACTCTTGCTTAACATGGTGATCTGAAATGAAATCCTTGAAAAATTGACTTTTGGGTCTCAATATGTGCAATGAGGCAACTAAAATGTGAAAGGGTATAGTTACACATGCTAACTGTTTTGAGTTACATTAGAAAAATTATCAATAGAAAAAGCTCAGTTTTTAAGTCCTGTAAGTTTAGTAATTACTTCATTATTACATCTTAAAAAAGAGAAATAAAATCCATGTAATTTGGGGAACGAAGGTTTATTTTAAAATGTCATTAAGAACATGCTATATTTTTCATTCCGAAAAATGGGTATAATAAGTTCTTCTTAAAAGACAGTTAATGATAGAATGAAATAAAATATGTGAAAGTGTTTTCCAATAAGAAATCAACTTAACAAATTTAAGATATGGTTTTAATTTTTTATTTTTCTTGGCAACAATTTTAATGTAATGCAATATATTTTTCTCATCAATCTGCATCTTTATGTAAGAAATCTACTTCTTCATATTAACTGCAGACACATTCACTGTACTTGTCAAAGTTGTAAATACCAGGAAAGCTAACTATTTTTTCTTTTTTTAAGAGAGGGAGTCTGACTATGTTGCCCAAGCTGGAGTATAGTGGTTATTCACACACACAATCATAATTCGCTGCAGCCTTGAACTTCTGGCCTCGATCATTCCTCCCACCTCAGCTTCTTGAGTTGCTAAAATTACAAGTGCATACCACCGCAGCACCCAGCAAGAGTTAACATTTATCCTGGCTAAATTGAAGTTTATCAAAATGTGGTTTGTAAATATAAAAATCATATTATTTACTCCAAATCCTAAACTTGATCATTTTCAAGGAAACGTAACTCTCTTTCAGTAACACACATTGCATCTAACTTATCCACATTTATTTGAGTCATTTGTATACAAATACAGAAACATAATTTCAATGATGCTTTTAACAAAAATATTGAAAAAATTAGAATCCTTCAGTTACTCATGTAGTTTTCTTTTATGAATTGCTGCATACAAGTAGTTAAGTGGGAAAACGCAGTTCTGTGAAATTTTAAAAATAAGACTGATGTTTTTTCGAAGCTTATGGGAATATTTATATGAATGCTATACTTTTGTATTATGTCAGTTGACTCACAGATCCACGTATATAAATTCAGCTACAGTTTGCATGTTGAAAAACATCACAAAGGTTTTCAATAACTAGAATTCATGTCTACAGTACTTAAAACCTGGACCTCTAAAGTACATTGGCAAATGTTTATCAAAATTCTGATAGCCAACACCATATCTAAGACACTAAACCTATCCCAAGTGCATTAGAAACCCTCCATTCTGCTCCTTGACAAGTCTCTCTTCCTTTGTTTGTTTGTTTATTTGCCTTCTATAGTTGCTTCTGTGAAGTTCATTTTGCTATTTCCTTAAATCTTACCTCCCCCTGCTGGTTGTGCAACATGGAGCGTGTCTAGGTAGAGTAAAAAGTAATTTGCAAAGGTTGGAGACCTTTCAGAAGGGCAACTCGTAAAAATACATACGCTCATATATATGTTTACAAATACATATACACATGTACACACAAAATGAAACTAGATTTTTTTATAAATTAGACTTAGTCTTAGATGAGAATTGTTAAGGCAATAATCTATAAACAAAATTTTATGTGAAAGAGTAATATCATAGTTATAACATGAAAGATACTCAAGATATATCCCACATTTATATATGCTAGAATAGTGAAGTGTATTTGAGTCAATAGTTTTCATTATGTTATCACGTACACAATTTGCACAATGGCTTATCTGGAACACTAAGAAGACATATACTCAGTCCTATATGTTGATGCAGATATTAGCTGGCCAAAACCATTGATTATCTAGTAATAAATTGAATTTTTATATGCAACCTTTATTGACTTATCACAGTATAATTTAGTTTACCAGAAGTTTTGACCATTTCCCTTCTTTTAAAATTAGACTGGCTCTTCAACTAGAACTTCTAATCTGTAATGCTGAAAATGCTTGCTAAATCAAACATATACGGAACCACAGGATGCATAATTTTCAGAACTGTGTCTACATGGCCTGCAATTTACATTAAATTGCTATGTTTTGGTTAAATGGCACCTTAGCTTCCAAGCAACTCTTTCAATAGTTGTTTCTTTAATTATTATTTAATTTTGTGGTTATGACTGGTTTTCAGTTAAAGAGGGTACTACTGACAAATTCAATTAAATGAAAATAGAGGACTTAATGGTCCATGCTAATGCTTCATTTCATACATAATATTTTATCATTTTCTGTGCAAATTTGTAATGAGAGCTTGGTTTGTATTAATAAATGCTTACATTTAGGCCACATAAAGTACAGTAATTAAAATACTTCGCTAATAATATTTACTTATAAGTGCTCTAGAAAAAATTAACCCATTGATTCCAATTACTTTTACTAAACCAACTTCCAAGAATACAGTTCTTTGGCATCAAAAAATATTATTTTAATCCTACTTTTCATAAAGTGCCCTGGGTGCTATTTTATTATATTTTAATAGAGCATGTTATACATCTGCTGCTTTCTGGAACACAGATTTCATAGAATAACAGCAAACAAAAATTTAAACAAAACTACCTTTTTTTTGAATTTTGAACAAAGGACACATATGTTATAGATCTCATTTCCAAATATTTAAACTGAGAAATGTAACTGTTTATTGTATTGAAATGAGCAAAAGTTGGTTGTCTTTTGCTCTTTAAAGTAAATGTTACTCTATGGTATTTTTTCTTTAACCTATAGCAGAAGTCATCTGCAGACAATTTACATTCCTTCTCATACTAAAAGAAGATATGCTGCCTCCCCAAATGAATAAAGATCTTATTTATAAACATGTTGCAGAATATGTGTTACTCATAATTCAACTCTGTAATAACATAGTTCAAAATTAAATATATATGTAAATGTATAAGCGAAACATAAAAGACAAGTTTATATTTCATGAAGTTGGAAACAATAAGTCTGTATAGGATTATTCAGTTTTCTAGTTTACATGAAAAAGGAACAATTAATCATTTCTAAAATCTCACCTCTAGATATGTGGCCAGTATATTGGCTAATCAAAGCTTTTGGTTTTTATGAAAGTGGCACTCTGGAAATCAGACATATTTAAAACAGAACGATGTGTTTTATTGTTAGTACTTTTTGCTATTGATGTTGAATCAATATCCTAAGGATAAGGAGAAGCAAAACTCCAAACTGACATAAAGGTTGAGATTACAAAATAAATTATGGAAAGGAAAAGAAAATATCTTGAGGTAGTCTGTTCCTTTAAGACCACTAATGAAAAAGGGAAAACGCAAATCAAACTCTTCAGGTAACTAAAGCTTTAGAGATGAGCTTTTTAAAAGGCAGAAAGATCTGATTCATTAGAAAAAGCCCTTATTTTTAAAAGCAAGCTGGTAATGACAGCCTTAGTTTTCACATGGAAATACAAAGTGTCCAGTGATAATACTTCATTAGATATGACCCACAGTACTTCAAAGCAGTCTCTTGTAAAGGAAAAGTCACTTGGTTGTAACATATAAAAAGGAATTATTACTATTTTAAAGGTGGGAAAACAAACACAACTTCAGGTCAAACACTGAAGCATAGGATGGCTAAATTTATAACCCAGATGTAACTTGGCACCGAATTCTACCATTTCAATTAGTCTCCAGAAAATTTTCTAAAAATAAGCCTGTACATTTTCATTTAAGAGTGATATTTTGAGTAGTTGTAAGGGGCTTGACATAAAGCACATCTAGTGACATTAAGGTATATATCTTAATACATATCTTGAAAGAGATGGTACATAATAATATATGACGATTATCAATAGCATCTAAAACAGAGCAGGAATTAAAATACACACACATACATGCAAATAAAGGGCACGTGTAGTCATTGGAATTGATGGATACAGAGTTAGTTCCACTGTTAGCTAACCAGGAAGAGCTGTGGGAATCAACATGCTCCCACAGTGCATGCACACAGTTTGTGTAGGTCCAGGGAACAGGAGAACTATAAGTAATCCTCATCAGTCACCACTATCTGCAAAGCCTTTGTTTCTCAAGATGATGTGCTGCTGACCAAATGGCCAGATTTGATAGAATTGGGCAAAATAGTTCACTTCAGTTATATAATATTTAAATATGTTCTACTATTTACAGAATTAATGAACTCCTTCACTTTCACTATAGAAAATTCTGTGTCTGGCTAATTTTTGATATTATTGAATACTGAGTAAATATTTCAATAAAATTTTTCTTGTCTACACTTGAAAATAGCTTCAATTTGTAAAATATTTTTTCTATCCCTAAAATAAATCTTATTGTAGAGAATGCTTCTGTCAAAGTATTAATGGCTGAATCATTTCTCTTTCTGAAGCTACTGTTGGTACAACAAGATCTGATTCTGCCTCTTGCATGGCAAAATATGCCAGAGGAATCAGGAAACTGATGTTTCAGCATTCAGGTTTGCCTGCTCTTCTCATTTCATGCATGTCACAGTATCTTCAGCAACTGTTGCTCAAAACATAGGAGATGTGAAACTTTTCTGTCTGGTTGCCTTTGGAGAAGTGGATAAATATGCCAACTAGAGTCCAGAACACATCCTTGTAATCACAGAGAAAATGAAACAGCATGCTCTACTTGGGGTAAGGAGATTACACAGCATTGCTTGCTGGACAAAGGAAAATAAACCTTTTTCTCTCTTTGAGTCCTTTAAAAAATCCTGGTAGTTGGGGTTTGACTGGCCCATTATTGACATCATAAGCAATATTCTTAAATGCATATATTTTTGAATGAATAAAAAATACAGCTAATCGTACTTAAATCCAAGCCAGAGACGCTTAGAAGACCTCAGCTTGACGTTTGAATGCTACTTACATTAACTGAGCACAATTAGGTATTAACAATTCCAAAACACTCTCTTTGGACAGCATTTGTTAATAATAACATTTGTGTTACACGTTTGTTGAAGTCATGCCTAAGATGCAGAATTCATCTACATTAACATCCTACTTTGCTGGGTCTCATCTCACCTGATGGTTCTTCTAGGCATTCCCTTACTCAGTTGCCTTCGATCTTACGTGTTGTGTTTCCATTTCACCTCTTTCCCCTTGTGTCCTTGTATAGTTTTTTGAGGCAGAATCTCACTCTATCACCCAAGCTAGAGTGCAATGATGTGATCAAGGTTCACTGCAACCTTGATCTCCTAGGCTGGAGTGATTCTCCCGCCTCAGACTCCCAAGTAGCTAGGACTACAAGGATGCACCACGCTGCCAGCTAACTTTTTGGTATTTTTTTGTTAGAGATGGAGTTTTGCCATGTTGCCCAGGCTGATCTAGATCTCCTGGGCTCAAGCGATCCTCCTGCCTTGGCCTCCCAAAGTGCTGGGATTAAGTGAGCCACTGCAACCACCCAATTTTTAATATTTTGTACCTTCTAAACTAATTGTTGTACTAAAGATATGCTATTGATGAATATTCTCAATAGTACTGAAAAAAACACTGTGATACAGAGATTGGGCTTAGCCACTGGATGACCCACTTATTCCCATGTGGAAAAATACCAAATCAGTACTTTAGCTGCAACACAAATTGCTAAGTAAAGCAATTTAGTTAGAAGGAGAATATTAATCAAAGGAAACAGTCAGTCTTCAGAACAACTTGATCAGATAGTTTACTAGCTTAGAAGTTAAACAGGAGTAAAATTAAGCCTATATTTCCTCTTCTGTAAGAGACAGGGATAATAACTCTATACAGTCATTATTTCACTATCAATTTTGTTTTGCTCTGGTTTTGATGGGGATTAAGATGGAGAAGTGAAAGGAGGAAGAATCTGTGAAATGATGGGGCAAATGAGCTGACGTGTAAAACACTGGGATTGTATTATGATTGGATTTTGTTACATTAATTCGAGTAGGTTATCTAACACATACAAACTTCAAATTGGAAACCACTTAAAGCAACTAGTATCTAATAGCATAATATAGAGAAACTATTAGAAGTAAATAATGGGCATATTTAGACAAAATTAGCTTCATCATGTTGAGTAGGCAGTAGGGAAAGACTTTATGTATGAAATATGCACATGAAATGCTGTTGGGGGATAGAGAAGGAAGTAAATGTTAATATACTTAATTCTTGTTTAAAAACATAATGCAAAACCTAAAACAGAGCAGGCATACAATCGGTTTTGTGGGGTGCTGGAATGAATGAATGAAAGATGCCATAGCCAGGGATTCCATCAGGGTAGGCAGAGATACATAGATTGCAAACATAACCTGGTTGTGGCCATATTGATTATTAAAAAAAATAAGTAAAAATTTAAAAAATTGTCTTCAGATAATGCTGTAAATAATGGCAAAGTTTTTGTAGCTCAACAAATTCAATCATGGTATGTTTTCACCCATAGGTTGTGTAAATTATTATTAGGACTTGCTTTATTTATTAGAGAGTTTCGAGGAAAATGAAGTTTATAATGGATGTTTTATGGTCTATTGTTAATATTATGTACTGGCTTTTTGGTAGACTTTCCCTGTTTGGAACAAATCCAAAGCATCATACCAGGGCAGTTGGAACATGTCTGTTCTGTAATGTCCATGTGCTAAAAATCCTCTAGAGAGTTCTACTGGGAGAGGATTAAAACTTGTCATTAAGCCAAATAACAAATCTTTGTTGGTTCTCTGCAGTGCACAGCGATGTTAGAGCTCATGTTACAGGTTAATTGCTTTCAGTGGTGGAATAGCCTGAGTAAGGTTTTCCTTGGCTTAGCAGAGTATTAATAAGGAAACCCAACACAACGTGACCACCAATATTAGAGACAGAGAACTCTGGCAGGCTAAGGCAGCCAACGGCCAATGGGAAAGCTCTGTTACCGAGGGATCATCAGATATGCAAAGCACAGAAGTATTTTACCCTGATGTGGTCTACTAACTTTAAGCAACAAAGACTTCGTCCTTAAGCATTTGTGAGATTCGAACACACAGTGCATAAAAGGTTATGTTCCAAGTGCACAGTGGAAAATAAAGTGAAAGCAAGACATCAGACAGAAATATAGAAAATTTAATATTGTCCACTTATTGGATTTCTGTAGCCTGGAAGTAGCCCTGATTATTTTACTTTACTTCAAATTTTTTAAAAGAAAAATAAAATTGTCCATAACTGAAACTTGGGTACCAATTTTATCTACAGCATTTTTTTTTCCAAGCCTGATTATAAACCCCTGAAAATCAGCATTCTTGGTATAATGGGAATACTGCATATCTTTATAACAGCCTTAGCAGTACTAATTACCCATTCTGTACTTAGAAAGTAGAAGGATCAAGACTATATGCATTTACAGCATCCATGTTTGCAGAGGTAGCTAGCCTGTCAGCATTTTCATTCTGTACAAAATGCCTGAGAAGATTTTAGAAATGGCAAAGCTGCCTCTTTAGCATCAATCTACATTGCAATTTTAGCAAAGCAGCATTACTCAGAACACCATACAGTATATCCTAGTGTACACAGTCAAAGTCCAATTTGAATCTGTGGGATGAATTAAAATACCATATACTAAAGAGCTGTTCAAAAATAGTAAACTACCGTAGCTACCAGCTGCAATTTCTTATTTTTCCTAAAAACTCTTCTCCGTTTGAATAAGATCAGCATATGGCTTATCCAAACTACACCTTTTAATAACTCCATAAAAACGGACTGACTTGGAACATTATACAGCACCGGTAAGAAGGGCTGATGAACTGCGCTTCTACTGGGGTCTTCCTACATGAGAAAAATCGTGCAAAACCCAAGATACACGATAAAACGTATATATCTGATCTTTTGCCTTTTCATTCCCCTGCCAGTCTTGCCTCCTGCATTTCTACTCCAGTGATTCTGTAGCAAGATACATACACAATAACAATTGTCAGAGCCCGTGCTCCACGGCTGACCACCTAGAAAGAAACGTTCTCTGTTGTGAGTCCTGGCCCTGTGCACAGCCGGCAGAGGTTTCTGCATGGCTTGTGCCGGACAATGTTGTACAATCGGTTTCAAAATGTGGTGTCAGTCAGCGCTCTGGCACATGTGCAACCTCAAAGGGTGAAAGAAGTCGCGACTGGGCTGTGGTCAGTGACTGGTGGCGGGGCTGCGCTGCCAGTGTGGGTGAAGCAGGGTAGAAGGAAACCACTTTCAAGTGATAGCATTTGGTTTTCCCATGATCTGACAACCAGCAACCCACGGAGAGCTTTCCTTTTCTTTTCCTGCGTATCCACCTTCCCCTCCTGCCCTTTCCGCCCTCACCCCTCCCTGTTCACCTCATCCCCACCGGGCCCTGCCTTTGGTGAAAGAAAGAGACCAAAGTGCCACAAAAGGGCAAGGGTAGCTCAGTTTCAGACCCCAGGGCAACATGTGTTCAGCGAACAAGAGTGTAAGAAACACTGAATATAGCAGTTAATTCTTTAGACATACGATTTTCTGACTATGGCTTTCTTTTTAGCCATGCATATTTATTGCCATTCAAAGAGATTTTGTCTGCATACCAGCAAACAGCTATTGAGAACCCAGCAAATCTTAAAATGATTAAGGCACTGGAGTTTGCTAAAGATGTGGCATGCAAAGAATCACCAGAAAGCCATAGAATATTAAAAAAATATTAATAATGTCAGTTCTAATAATTCAAACTCAGATTTATTTTGCTACAATCCTGTTCCAAGTGGTGTGCCCTGTCTTTTTTCTTAAGAATGAACAAAGATCATGGAACAGATTGTAACCTAGGTAAATTGCTTGTCTGTTTACAATTGTATTTCACATATTCTATATATCATTTGCAAACTATTCCCCAAAGAAATATGTATCAAACTTTTGAAAAAAGTGAAGATTTGATGACAATCTGTTTTCCTTTCATTTGTTTCAGATGCTGCAGGAGATTTCATCTGCTAGTTAGGTTTTTTTGTCTGCATTTTGAATATAGTGTCCTGTCATGTTCATCATTTGTTTTCTTTTGTTCTCTCTGCTTTTACATTCATAAACTACATTTCTTGAAATTATATCGCCACCATTAAGCAAAGAGGAATAAAGGAAAAATACATAGACGATTGAAGTGAAGTTTACATATGCAATGTAATCATAGAATCCTGATCAAATGTGAATGACAAATGTTTCCACATATCATTTGAAAAAAAAAATCAAAATGCTCCCCTCAACTCTTTTAACTTATAGGAATATGCAATTTGTGAGTTTTAGGACTTGTCATCACAAAAATGTCTTAAGTTATACTTTGAGGAAAACAGTTAAGTATTGCAGCATATTTATAAATGTGTTTTCATGGTCTGAACCTTTGGGATGAGAAATTATTCCTTAGTAATTAATTGCTGCAACTTTTTTAACTGTCAAAACTAAAGATTAATCTTGCAATAGCAGTTTAACCAGAAGAACAACCAATGGCAATTGCTGAGGAGTATGACTCATAGAAAACACTCAGGAAGAGCAGAGATTCCGAACTAACACTAAATGGATTCTAACAACTCAATTCTAGCATTACTCACAGTGTATTAATAGAGCCTCTCTACTCCTAAGTTAGCACTGAAATCAGACAAAAACACTCTCATTAAGAAGAGACATTTCCATCCCACTACAAATAAGGATTCTTAGATTGTACTCATACTAAACACTATTATACACTAAATATTTAATTATTGTTTGTACTGGAATTTAAATCATTGAAAAAATGCACATTTATTTTTCTTAAATATCTTCAAAAATAATTATGAAAAAATAAATCCATATTATCATGTAAACTTGGCATATAGACATGTAATAAACATGTATTCGATGACTAATCATTATAATTAATTATAATAAAGCTTGGGTGTAAAAGTTGGCTTTGTCTTAGAAACTAAAAACACGCATTTAGTAATAAATGGTATGGATCACTGGAGAGACACCTTACAGAGCTTGGGGAAAGGAGCAGTTACCCAGTGAAAATGCTTTTGGCAACTCTTGACCTTTGAGTTCCTAACTTAAAGGACATACAAACAGCACCATTCTCCAGCAAGTTTCCCTTGATAACCTGCTGGAGAGGGGACAGAGTATCCTGAAGCCATTTGACATGCACAATTTAGCAATTATGTGGTCAGAGGAGGAATGATTCTGTTAGACCATCAGGGATTGCTGATGTTTACAGCCTTTACACACTTAGAGAAAAATCTAAAATCTAACACAGCATAATCAATATCAGAATGAATTCTCCTTTCGAGCCGTGAATGATAGCTCACATTTTATAGGAAAAGTAAATTTGGAAGATTTCAAATGTTTGATTCAATCTATTTTTTTTTAAAGGAAATACGTGAGGGTGTGAGACTATGTGGTGAGGGGATATTCATTACTATATTTAAATGAGGAATAAAAATAAACATGAGTCAAAATGCAATGTGATGCTTTTTTTAACCTTGGATTTCAAAACTAACATTTCTCCAGGTGAAAAAGAATAAAGTTTATTTTACTTTACTTTTCAACTAAAAGAAGTTGTTCTTTTTTCTAAGTCTCCCTTGAGCTCACAGCAATGTTTATTTATTTTTATTTTACTGTACATGAAGAAGGTTGCAAGACCAATAATGCTAACGCTTTAAATATTTCAATCTAATTTGAGATTCTTAATTCATTTCCTCTGTGAATAATTTAAACCTGTTTTCCTTTTGTTTAGTTTCCTTGATATGAAAACACAATTTGCATTTCTCTTTTTAGCAGGTAAGTTAGCTAGAAAACAGTTTTCTTTCCCCCTCAAAAAGTAAAATCATTTTCAAGCTTTTACAGTTACATAAAAGTGCAGCTCAATGCTTTCACTCTCAAAGCTCTATTTTTAATGGGTTGTTTCCAAAATTTCCTGCATTCATCAATCAGATATCAATTGCGGGGGGCCTGATTGGGTCTCCCTCCACCTCCATCATTCCCTGCTGCCTGAGCACTGCCTGCCAAATGTTACAGGAAGTGACTTGAATAGCGACAGCAGATCCAGCAGCACCCTCAGTGTGCTGGTGGGTCATTGCCATCCCCACCGAGAACCCAGAACATCTGCTCTCTAAACACAGGGTCTGATGCATAATCAGCTTGCAGAAGACCATCTCTCCCAGTACATCACGGATCCTGGCACCTCGACACGTGCAATTGAACCAACCCACACACCCGCACCTCCACGTCTTCCTCCAATGTGTGGATTTGAAATGCAAAGTCTAGCTTTTAGTTTGTTTTATTTCAAAAAAAGAAAAGAGAAAACAAGCAAGAAAAAAATCCACATGGATTAAATAATGAATGAATCCCTTTAAGAATCTAATGGAGGACATATACATATGAAAGGAAATGATCACAGTGATAGAGGCAAGTTCAAGTGATAAGGAAAGATTGGTTGGCATAGAAATTGGCTGTTGCTGCTCCAAGGATCCCAAAGTGCACTATTTTTCTGATGTAGTCTTCATGCAAGTGTGATTTTTCAGCATATGGAATGTAGAAGGATAGGGCTCCCCGAACTAAGTCACACAAAATTGATATTCGCCTGTGGGGACTGAAGAACTTTTTGAGAACTACCTGGCATGGAAATTTATGTGAAGATTCTTCACAATGCAAAGGATGATACAGTGGCTCTTGAACTATTTCCTTATTGTGCTCATCTCAAACAGATGTCTTTTTGTTCATTGCATTCCTTGCACAGACATATTGGCTGTAACCTTCTGTTTTAGAGGGACTGTGCAGGATGATTTTCCACATGCTGAGATGCTAAACAAGGGTGTGTGCTCCGTGTTTGATTACTCAGTGCCTCAGTGGCAACAGGCAACTGCAGCAATGCCTTTGATAATATTTCTTAGAGGAATTAGGAAAAGCGAATTTGGTGTACTTTATTTTTGCTATTAAAGAAAGGCATTGAATTATCTTTTATTCTTTTTTTTCCCTTAACATATTAGAGGGAGTTTCCGGTTCTCTATTGCACAATGCCACACAGACACACAGCATATCATTGGGTGATAAATGAGAGCTTGGTGAATATGAAATTACTGATACTGTGTTAACAAAAATCTACCTGTGTGCAAAGTTCTTATGCATCTGTATCTTGTCTTTGTGACCGTGCACAAGTTGCCAAACCTCTTTGAACCTCATAATTCCTAAACTTTGGTAAAATAAAAATTACCGTGTAGCTTTGGGGAGTTCTACATGAGATCTGCTTCTTACATCTGCTGGCATCTAACAGCCCTCCCCTTCAAGTCTTCATGTAAAATTCAGGGGTACGTATTACCCATCCCCTCCCCCGTTCCCAAGGAACACTCTCTCCAGCTTCTTAGCTTTATTTTTCTCTGCAATACTGTCTACCCTTGAACTCCAGGATTTCCCTGTTTGCTTCATTTCTTGTCTGTCTTTCTCTTACTAGAATATGAATTCACCAGAGCAAGGGTTTTTGACTGTTTTGTTTATTACTCCATCCCCATTGCACGCTCTGATCCAAATTATATTACCAGCTCTGTAAATATGGATTAGATGAGTGGATAAATAAATTTTTACATTAATAAATGAATGGAAAGCCTAGATTTATTTAAAATATCTCTTTTCCATCCTGTGGAGTTACGTGGGATTCTCTGCCAATGAATTTATTGAAAATATCTTTTCCTAAACCTTTCAGGGGCCAAATAGAATATTTTCTTCCAAATGTACAAAGTAAAGTCTGTGTTTTTTAAAGCATGTTTCCCAAGGCACATCTGACGTTAAATCTAGCATGGAAGGGAACCCTTTGTCCACTCGAGAAAATGTTTCCCTTATCGAAGTTGGACGGCCAGGTGGAAAAATTGCACTATGCTGTCCACCTAGTCGATGACCCAGCAGTGTGGCATAGTGACCTAGCCTGTTGTAGCCCAAGTCACTAAGCCTAGAAACCACCTTCTAGTCTCTGCCTGTTTTGAACAAGCTGGTGAATCATCAGGACTTCCATTTCCCCATTTAAAAAATACATGCACAGATTTAGTTTCCAGTCTGGCACTAAACTACTCCGAAAATTTTGGCATTTCATGTTGTACCCCATGAGCTAGATAGGGTAAAGGACAGATCAACCACTTTTTTTTTTTTTTTTTTGTCTGTGAGACGGAGTCTCAGTCTGCCGCCCAGGCTGGAGTGCAGTGGCGCGATCTAGGCTCACTGTAAGCTCAGCCTCCCGGGTTCACGCCATTCTCCTGCTTCAGCCTCCCGAGTAGCTGAGACTACAGGCGCCCGCCACCATGCCCTGCTAATTTTTTTGTATTTTTTTTTTAGTAGAGGCGGGGTTTCACCGTGTTAGCCAAGATGGTCTGGATCTCCTGACCTCGTGATCCGCCCGCCTCCGCCTAGAACCACCGCACCCGGCCCAGATCCACCACATCTTATGTCTAATTCCATTCTATGGTAAAACATGACTTCTGGTGCATTAATAGCATTGAAGGCTCACCTTTTGTAACTACCCTGATCACTGGAAGATATGAGAAAAAACAAGTACTAGGAAATAAAACCAAGAGACTGTGGCAGTACCTGGAGCCCGGGATCCCATCCATATTCCCGTATCCTCGATCCCCGCCCCCTTTTTTTTGACGAAGAACATCTACAGATTTGTTAAATCAAGAAAAGAACAAGAAAAAAAAACCCTTATTTTAAATGCATCCCTTAATGCCAACTATTCTTAATGTAGATGAAAGTCCACACTGAAAGGCATATGATTACAATAAAGAGAGGGAAGAAAATCTTTCTTCAGGAGGGAAAGTTATAACTTACACATGTTTAGAATTACCCAGAGAGCTATTTGTCCTCCTAATGCACGCGGAGGGGCACTTGTATCATCGCCGTGAACACTGCATTGAGCAAGCACTCAGGTCTTTTGTGGAATATCCATGTCACTTACTTTAAGTGGGAGTGTTAACACCTTTGCCATTTCTCTAAAAATGAGGTTTGCTTCTTTTTGAGTTAAAAAAAAAGAGATTTCTATAAAAGGGAGCATTAAGCAAGTTAACAAAGTACTTTTTTAGAGGATCAAGCTAAGGAAGGTAATACTTCCTTAAAAGGTTTCACTTCTTATTTCCCACCTTACTTAACAGGATGACAGAACATCCAGGAGAAGGGCTCAAAGGAGAAATATGTTGAAACTCAATTACCTGTGTTAGTGAACCACCTACAGATATTTAAAAATATTCTCTTCTCACAGGTACTCAGTATGAACCAAGTGCTTTTTTTTATTTGTGTCTCTGATGCCCCATTAACATAATGAAATGCCCTGTGCCTTTTTTCACAATAGGAAAAAAGGGCCAAAACAGTGATAAGATATCCACACTAACTGTAAGCCAGTGGACAGCGCTTTTAACTGCTTCCTGGCTGCCTAACATGCGTGAAATACCAAGCAGGCCTGGACAGTGTATCTACTTGTAGTTCCTAGGGAACCAGAAGCTGACCTGAGTTTTGATCGGGACAAGAACCCTTTGGTTCCACTGATTTTCTGAAACTTGTGAAATCAGCCGACTGAATTTATATAACACCAGGAAATTTTTAAAGGTTCGATGCTCTACCTACTTTCATTTGATATAGAACTCTTTACCTATGAATGTAGTCTCTCTAGATAAAACCTCTAGTTTTTGCCTGCAGCTTTGGCCACCTTCAATTCACATTCAAGGGAATAAAATGCTCTCAAATAAGATGGAATCTGTATATTGAATATCCAGTCTTTATACAAAAACATTTTTGAAGTTTCAGATACCAAATAGTCATGTAGAGCCACTCTCGTATTCTTTCATTCATCTCCTCCAAAAATAGTGCTGGAATATTGTGCCGAATATTTTCCATTCAACTGTTGATTTTTCAGATTAATTATTGATTACTAATTCAACTTATGTCTGTTCAACAAATCTGAGCACAATACATTTTGAGATTAATAAGTCTTCAGTGTGTCCAGACACAGTGCTGGCACTTGTTCTTTGAATCACTTACCACATGGGTAAGCTGCCCTCAGCTCCCTCCAAGCTGTGTCTCCCTCCCGGCGGTTCCTCTTACACTCCTTCTCCTTGTATCCCATCCCTGATCAATATTCTCCAGCAGTTCTCCACTGCCTGCACACAGGATCAAGTTCAAACTCCGAGACCTTGCATTCTCAGCAGCTCCCTAATTCTGTCTCTAGGTCCTTCCCGTCCTTGCACACACCCAACTCATACCTTACTCTTGCCTGCTCCCAGATATGTGTTGTCCTCAATGGCTTCCCTGCCTCTTTTGTGTGCTATTTCCCTTCTTAGAATGCCATCTTCACCCTTAGTTACAGAAACACCCCACTGAAGCCCCTCATCCTCCACAAAGCCTTTCTGAATAGTTCCTGCTAGATGAGGCTTCATTTTCTACCCTTATTTGTGGTCAGAGCACTATTTTTCATAACGCCCATTCCATTCCACATGGTGATATTTCATTTTTATTTGCTTAATATCTTATCTCATCAAATGAATTATTATCTTGCAGAATACAAGAACTAGGTCTTATTTTTGTAGATATATTTGCATCCCTATCCCCTAGTCCCCACCCATAAAGATGTGGAAGAATCTCATTTTAAAATAAAAAACCATAAAGACAAAAAAACCTTGCCTATTGAAACATAAACAAATAATTGAACATTTTAAATGCACTTTTTACTTACAAATTAATTTCTCATGATTTTCATTCATTGGCTTTACTAACAAAAATTCATTATGTATTATTCCACCTGACTTTTAAAGTACTTCTATTAGACAAATGTCCCAAATATGAGAAAACAAATATAAGTTAAATTAAATCCACAAAGCTAAAATTCTCTATGAAATAATTTAAATAATTGAAAGTTTCTCTATGAAATAATTTAAATTTATGGCCCTTTAGATGATTACTAAAATAGGTATGTCTCATAGATTTGAAGTTAAAAATGTGTGTGTGTGTGTGAACTTCTATGTTGATCAAGGAGTCAGAGGCAGGGAGGATAAGAGAATATAGTCTGGGAGTTGCAGCCCAGCAGATAAAAGTAATAGAAGGACAACTTAATCTTGTGTAATTTAGATCATCTAAGCATGAGGAACCAGCTACGTGAAAAGGGGTATTTTGATGAACTCCACTGAGCAGGGGCCTTAGGCACAAGGCACAGGAAAGTGCCTGCGAAAATTGAGGATGGCCGGGCATGGTGGCTCAGGCCTTAATCCAAACACTTTGTGGGGTTGATGTGGGTGGATCACTTGAGGTCAGGAGATCGAGATCAGCTTAGCAAACATGGTGAAACCTCATCTCTACTAAAAATACAAAAATTGGGCAGGTGTGGTGGCACATGTCTGTAATCCCTGTTACTCAGGAGGCTGAGGCACGAGAATCACTTAAACCAAGGATGCAGAGGTTGCAGTGAGCCGAGATCATGCCACTGCACTCCAGCTTGGGCAGCAAAGTGAGACTCCAACACACACACACACACACACACACACACACACAAAAAAAAAAAAAAAAAAAAAAAAGAAGTAAAAGAAAATTCCGGCAAGGAACAAAAATAAAATGAAGAAGATAACATTCAAAGCACAGAAGACTAGTTCCGGGGACAGAAAGCAAGTACAGAAGGGAAATGTTTCAATCATCCAGGTCAGAATCTATTTTAAGACAATGCAAGAGGTTATAGAGTCAAAAGGAAAAGAGAGGGGTAAAGCAGAATATTCTTTCATAAGATAAATGGAAGCATTTATTAATCAAATGAATTTTCCAAATATTGAGCCAAAGGTAACAGACAATTCACTTACATAATCCACTAATTAATCAGCATCATTAAAGCATTTATTCATTTATTTAGAGAATCTCACCCTAGTGGTGGAAACAAACTATACTCTGATTATCCACCTATAATAATGTGTTTAGTAGGCATAGTTATAATATACTCTAGGAACAGAGATAGGGAGAGAATAATTCTTTTGGGGAGACTTAAGGGGCTGCTTCATAGATATACCAATTTCATCTTTGTATTCATAAATGGTCTAAATTTCATCAGGCTGTAAGGATTCATGCTCAAAAGCCTATACGAAGGAGCCTAGGGTGTTCCAGAACAGCACTGCCTTATAGAAATATGATGTAAGCGGTGTGCACAATTTTTGTATTTTCTGTAGTTATATGAAAAAGAAAATAAATAGACCTACAATTAATTTAATCATCTAGCATGTAATCAACATAAAACATTCTTAATGACTTTTTATACCTTTTATTGGCTGGGGGGAGGGAGATGTTACAAAGTCTTTGAATCATAGGAAAAGAAAGACTTGAGTAGAAACAAGGGAAGATGGGTGGGGGTTGTAGTTAGACATATGGGTGGAAATGAAAAAGACAATTCCAGTTTAAATTAACATAAGGTTGTCAGATAAAATATAGGACGCCCAGTTAAATTTGAAATTTAGATAAATGATTTTTGGGAGGTGTAAATATGTCCTGAATATTGTGCAATTATACTAAAAATATATTCGTTGGTTATCTGAAATTCACAACACTGTAATGCTCAAGTAAAATCATAAAATCAGAGATCAAAAGTTTATACCAGGATGTTCATGAAGCTGATTTCTAAATCAGTTTATGTGCATTTTTACATTTAATTCTTAAAGCAGCATTATGTGGTAGGTCCTTTGTATTATCCCTAAATTACAGATGAGAAAACTGATTCTTAATTAGATAATAAGTCAAAGGTAGCGTCGCTAGTAAATTACAGAACTAGGATTTGAACCTAATTATGTTTTCTACCATTACAGTGCTCATGTCAGAGCTGAATGATATTGGAAAAATATGGGTTAGAAGTTCACAAAGGGCATAGAAGCCATTAATCTCTAAGCTCACTTGTGACTCTAAAATTTAGAATCTACTTCTGGCACAAAAAAGTATTAAACTGTGGCTTAGATGTAACCAACTCTCCTGCCAAGAATAACTAGAAAATCTGGTAAAATATGGAATCGGAGAGTCACGTAGGCAGCCAAGGCTTTAGGGGCCAAGGTCTCTGAATGGAAAATGCATTAAAGTGAATTAACATTCTGCTCTGCATTTTCTCTGGAGGCATTTACTTCTCAGACTGAGAATCTAAGATAGAATAGCAGCAAAGATGCTGAGCAAAGCTTCTGGTAGTCCCATGGCGTTGAGAAAAGAATATATTTCAGATCTGTCATTATAGTCAAGATTGAGAAATCAGGATTCCAGAGGGACAAGAGTGCAACATCTATACTGCTTTTTATTTCATAGCATGTACCTGTTTATAAGCGGTGGTAAGAAATTGATCAGAGCTTTTGACTAGGGAGACAAGAATTAGAGTCCAGGGGCTATCGATGGGGAAGGAACTGAAAACAATGTAGACTTTTGCTTGCGATCACTGAAGAGCTACACCCTAAAGGTAAGGCTAGCTTTAAAATGAACCAGCACTCACAAAGATGAAAATTCACTGTCAAATCAGCTCAGTCACAAACCGGATTAAAGTAAAATATTTCTACTCTAACAGGCTTGAGAAGCAAAAGTAAATGTTTTCTAGGGAAGGAAAACGTTATTTTCAACCTTTGCTATATTTAATATAAAGTTTTTCTACAAAATTTTATTAAAAAATTAATGGAGATAGGACCAAAAACAAAAGAAAAAAAAAGAGACAATAGAAATAGATGTACAGATGATCCAAGAACTACTCTTATGAAATACAGATGATAAAAATTCTGTGATTAATACAATAAAAATGTGTGACTAGATGTAAACTTTGAAAAGGAAAATGGAACACATATAAAGAAGGAAGAGTGTAAACTGAAAAAAATGAGTTTAATAGTAGATAGAACACTACTGATTAGGATTAGTTAACTCATATATAGTTTAGTAGAGCATATACACTGAAACGCATAGAGAAAAACTCGTGGGAAATATTAAAAAAGGAACAAATTCATAGAGCATGAAAATATACATGTTCCTGAAGTTCCAGGAAAAAATTAGAGGCAAATGCAACAGAGTAATTTTTCAGGGATGATTTGGAAAAATTTTCAGAAACAATTAAATAATTAAAAATAGATTCTAGAAACGCTACAAATCTGAAACACGATTATAAAAGATACAAATCATAGCAAAGCAGTTGAAATCCAAATACATACTAAAAACTTCCAGAGGAGGGAAAAAACAAATCACTTTCAAAAGAGCAACAATAAGGATAATAACGAACTTCTCAACTCAAAAACTAAATTTAGAAGATGATATAACGATTTTTTCAAAAATCTAAAATAATATAATTTAACCTAGAATTCTATAGCCAGCTAAAATATCATCCTTCAAAAATGAAATAAAATTATTTTCAGTGAAAGAAGGACTTTTCAAACAGCAGACCTGAAAAAATGACAGAAAGAATTCTTCAAGCAGAAGAAAAATTATCACAGATGGAAACATCGAAATACAAGAAGAAATAGAGAACAAAAAGTTACGGTAAATCTACATGAATATGTACTATGGAAAAATGTCTTATGTGGTTTAATATATATACTATTAAAATAAATTCTCAAAATCCACAAATGACAAAAGGAGATAAATTGCATTAATGTACTGTTAAAGTCTTTGCACTGTCCTGAAATTGGAAAATAATTCTAATTTAAGGCATACTATAATATTTCAAATATACATGCTGATGTTTTAAGATAGCTAACAAAACAAGAAACTGTATAATGAAAAACTTACAAAGAGAGAAAAAGGAATGATAAAAAAGTAAATAAGTGAGTAATCAAAACAGAAAAGGAAAGAAGTGGCCAAAAAGCAATAGAGTACAGACAGGACAAATACAAAACTAATAATAAGATATTAGACTTAAACAGAAATATGTAATTAATTAAATGCCAATGAGCTAAATAATTCAAAATTAGAATTAAAACTTATCGGACTGGATTGACAACAACTATATACTGTTTATGAGATCAACACTTTAAATGTAAAAAAAAAAAGACCCTAAAATCCCTGTCCCTAAGAAACCTGGTATGACATTAATTAGAAATATTGATATAAAACTGACTAGACTTTAAAGAAAGATGCAATACTAGTATATTCATGGTTCAATCACCAGGAAAAGATAATAATTCTTACTTTGTATACACTGATAACACAGGTTAAATATATATCTGTATTTTATATGCATCTATATAATATAGATAAAATATAATATAGATAGTGGATATATCTAATATAGATATAGGTATAATATAAATATAGTAAATATATAGCTTTATATTTATAATTATATTTATAATATTCTATTCTATTTATATTTATAAGAAAATAAATATCTATTATATTTATATTTATATATAATATTTATATCATATTTATAGTATTCTATTTATATTATAATATTATTAATAAAATATAGATATAACATCCATATATCTTTCTATATACAGACATTATATAAATATAATATGTAGATACATAGATATTTATAGATATATATTTATAGACCTATAAAAACAAATATATATCTATAAATGTATATCTATAAATATCTATATATCTGTATACATAGATATCTATATGTATACCTAGATATATAGATATAAATATCTATATAGAAATTGTTCAGAGCTTTTGGATAGGGAGATAAGATATATCTATATAAATATCTATATGTATATCTAGATAGAGATCTATAAATACCTGTAAAGATATAGATCTATACATTTATATATATATAAAAAGATATATATATTGTCAGAGAATATCTCCCTGTAAAATTTTGACACATTGTTCTAACTAACTGGCAGAATCACAGGAGAAAATTAGTAAAGATATAGAGGACACAAATAACATAATTCATGAAATGGACCTAATCAAAACACAGAGTTTTGCTTGTTTCTCAGTAAGCTGAGAAAATCATATTGAGACTACTGAATAAAAGAAGAGAAGGCATAAATTACTAATGATCAGGATGCAAAAGAGGCTATCATTACAGATCCTGCAGTTACTAAAATGATAGTAGGAAAATATTATTGAAAAGTCTATGCCAGTAAGTCTGATAATTTACATTAAAAATATATATTATGTAGATATAGATATCTAATATATTAATATCTATATGTAGCTATCTATATATTTATAGATATATCAATCAAATGGAGGAATAAAAGGACAAAGGTAATTTAACAACATTGTGAAGGATTTTGACACATTTTTCTAATTCACTGGCAGAATCACAGGAGCAAATCTATGGAGATATAGAGGACACATATAACATAATTCATGAAATGGACCTAATCAACATACGTGGAACACTGCAACCAACGATTGCAGCCTATCGTTTTTTCAGTTGAACATGGACTCTTTCTAAAAATTGACCATAATATTGACAAAACAAGCAAAATTTATTAGATATACAAGGATGAAAATTATATGGAGGCATATTCTCTTACAAGAGCAAGATTAAACAAGAGTAAAAAGGCACTGATATGGTTTGGCTGTGTCCCCACCCAAATCTTGTCTTGAATTGTAACTCCCACAATTCCCATGTGTTGTCGAAGGGACCCAGTAGGAGGTAATAGAATCATGGGGGCAGGTCTTTCCCATGCTGTTCTCGTATAGTGAATAAGTCTCACGAGATATGATGGTTTTAAAAAATGGGAGTTCCCCTGCACAAGCTCTCTCTCTCTTTGCCTGCCACCATCCATGTAAGATGTGACTTGCTCCTCCTTGCCTTCTGCCATGATTGTGAGGCTTCCCCAGCCATGTGGAACTGTAAGTCCATTAAATCTCTTTTTCTTCCCAGTCTCAGGTATGCCTTCATCAGCAGTGTGAAAACGGACTAATACAGGCACTTAATGAATTCTACAAATATTTGGTAACTTTTAAATAGCACGTAGATCTAGGAAAGAATCAAGATAAAATTTTTGAGATACTTTTAACTGAATAATATATAATAATAATAAAATGCAACATATTAAGTTTGTGAGATACAAATAAAGTCCTACCTGCAAGGGAATGCTTATCCTTCAATACATATGCTTGGAAGAAGAAAGGCTTTTATCTCAATAATCAAAATATCCACCTCAATAAATTAGAAAATTAATAACAAATTGAATCCAAAGAAAGTGAAAGGAAAATGAGGCAAAAGCACAACTGCAGAACAAAGCTCTAATGCAATATGCAAAAGAGGAATTCTAACAGAGCTGTCATTAGTTCTCTGAAATCTAATAAGTTGAGAAAATAATATTCAGACTATTAAATAAAAATAAGAGAAGGGATAAATTACTAATATCAGGATGCAAAAGAGGCTCTCATTACAGATCCTGCAGTTACTAAAATGATAAAAGGAAAATATTATTAAAATCTCTATGCCAATAAGTCTGACAATTTACATAAAATAGATATACTCCTAGAAAAATTATGTGCCAAAACTGACAAAAGAAGAAATAAAAAATATAGAGAAACCACATTTATTAAATAAATTAAATTGGTAATTAAAAATTTTCCCCAAAATAACCAATGTAAGCTCAAATAGCTTTACTGGTGAATTCTTCTCAAGATTTAAGAAAGAAATATCATGAATCTTATACTTTTTGAAGACAATAGCAAAAGGATAGTCTTTTGAAACTCATTTTATGAGATGCTTTTAAACTCTCCAGAACATTAACGAATAAGAAAATTACACTTTGATCTCACTAAGATAGATGAAAAACTCCAAAACAAATATTTGAAACAAAATATTCAAAACTAATCCCGGAAATATTCAAAATCGAATTCAGGGATCTATAAATAAAGAAAAATATATCATCATCAAGATGGGAATATTAGGTTAATTTAACTTTATAAACAAACATCCATGTAATCTACCACATGAACAATGAGAGGAGATAAATTATACTATCTTTTCAATAGATACAGTGGCTGGAGGGAGAGGAGAAGAAGAGGTTAGGAGAAGGAGAAGGAGAAAGTAAGAGACAGAAGGAGAAAGATAGAAAGACAATGGAAAGTAAATGAAAAACATTCATCGCACATCTACAATTTAATTTTAAAAAACAAAAAATATGTTTTAGTAAACTGAGGGAGAAAGGTATCTTAGAATATCTTTACTAATGATACCATTTGATGAATTAATAAATACCATTAATAAATGGTATCTAAGTAAAACAAACATTATTCTTTATACTAGAATATTAATGGCTTTTCCCAAATTAAATTGGGGAAAAGACAAAAATGCTCAGAATCCGCTGGGCATGGTGGCTCATGCCTGTAATCCCAGCACTTTGGGAGACCATGAGGTCAAGAGATCAAGACCATCCTGGTCAACATGGTGAAATCCCGTCTCTACTAAAAACACAAAAATTAGCTGGGTGTGGTGGCGTGCATCTGTAGTCCCAGCTACTCAGGAGGCTGAGGCAGGAGAATCGCTTGAACCCAGGAGGCAGAGACTGCAGTGAGCCGAGATTGCACCACTGCACTCCAGCCTGGTGACAGAGCGAGACTCCATCTCAAAAAAAAAAAAAAAAAAAAAAAAAAAAAAAGCTCAGAATCAACATTTTTATTCAACATTATGTTGGAGGGTTGGAGGTTCTATTCAGTGTAATTGACAAGAGACATGTATAATTTTGAAAAAATAAAATAAAAATGTGAACTTTTGCAGATGGCATTATTGTATATAAATAACATTTTTCAAGTCTATAACCTATGTCTTCAGTGAATTTAGTAAACTCAGTGGATACACAGCTAATGTCCAAAAAAATCAATTGCATTTCTCTATTTCAATAAGAAATTAGTTGAAATATTTTTAAGTCCTATTCAGAGTATTACTAAGAAATATGAAACGTCTACAAATATATTTACCAAAATATATGCAAGACTGTGGCACATGAGTTCAGTGAATATTATAAAGATGTTAATTCTCTCTATAGTCACTTTTTAAATACAATACCAATAAAAACTCTAGCAAGTGTATTTACAGTAGTTTAATTTTTTCGAACACTTCTAAAGATGACCCTAACATTTATATTGAAATGTATATGGTCAAAAGTAACTAAGGCAATCATGAAGGACATTTCATGAATTTCATTTCCAGATAAAAATAAATGATATTTAAGATAACTTAATATTAGCTTAAGTGTATACAAAAAGACCAATGGAATAGAATAAGGAGTCCAGAAATATATTCCTAAATATATATGGCCAATTAATTTATCACAAAATTGACACTGCAGTGTAGTGGGCAAAGCTTTGATAGTTTTCTTAATGGGTGTTACTAGGTCAATTTGATATTCTTATGGGAAAAATAAATCTTGAACCTGACTCATACCATACACAAATTAACTCTGGTTAAATACAGATTTAATTATGCAAGTGAATAATCATAAAACTTCTTGAAAATACCATAGGAAAATATCTTCAAAGTCTTGAGGATATACAACTATTTTTTAATAAGATACACATCCCATTGATCATAATGAAGAGTTTGGTAAACAAGGTTGTATTAGAATTAATAAATTCAATTCATCAAAAGACACCAATAAGAGATTTTAAAAACTAGAGAGTGATTGAAAATATTAGCAACAGAAATATATATACATAACAAAAAAGACTTGCATCCAGAACATATAACTCTCAATTATTGACAAGGAATAGTCAGGTCAGATAATTTTTTTTAAAGATGAAATACTTAAGTTGGCATTTCATAAAGATGATATCAAAATGACTAATAAACATATGAATAGCCCCACCTCATTCATGTTAGAAAACTACAAATGAAAACAATAATGAGATATCATTTTACTCCCATGAGAATATCTAATATTAATAAGATGAGCAATACTTACTGTTGGCAAAAATAGTTCAATTATTTCAAATACTTTCGAAATAAGTGCATTATCTATGGTAGCAGAATTACATCATCCATTATTGATTTTATACCCAATAGAAATGCATGTATATGTGTACCTCAAAACATGCACAAAAATGTTAATAGCAGGAAGATGTCTAAGTGCCAGAAACTGGAAACAACCCAGTAGGTTAATTAAATGGGATACTCTAAAGCTATAAAAATAGATAAACCACTGCAATACTTAATATTGGGAATAAATTTTACAAACATATTGACCAAAAAGACCAATTCTGCACAAAAAGTACATAATCTGTAATCATCTTGATATAAAGTTCAAAAAAGGCAAAATAACTTCATGGTGATAGGACAGTGATGATCTGAGGTAGGTTAGTGACTGAGAGTAGGCATGAGAGGGATTCTAGAGGATGAGCAATATTACGTTTTCTTCTTTAGGTGTTGTTTACATGTGTCTGCTAACTTTGTTAGTATTGAGCTAACTTTGTATTGAGCTATGTAGTCATAATGTATGCATTTTTTCCATGCATTCATACTACAATGAAGAAGCTATTTTAAAAACTGGCTTTACTGCTGATTTGGGTAAGGTGTGGTTGAATTATGCAAACTGTAGTCATTTTTAAAGAAGAAATCGGTGTGTTAATTATTTCAAAGTTACTTCATTTGGACTTGATCCCAGACTTTGCATAGGAAAAAAAAAAAAAAAAGAGAGAAGAATGTGGCCCAGAGAAATCTAGAGTTTCTGATTTAGGAGCCATAAGAGTGAAGGACATGGTGAAGGTCTGAATAGGGAGATGTTGGTTTCAATGTACTCTATAAAGTCTTTGGTGTTATGGCAGGATCTTCAAACGAAACATATACATGACTCAGGACATAAAGAAAAGTTGGTACCATTACAAGGGAGAAGATAAGTGAACAGTCATGGAGGAAAGATTGATAACTCAGTCTTTTCCAGGCTCATCCTCAGCTGATGTAATTACTGTCTGTCCATAACATTTATTACATTTGTCACTCATTTTGACAATTGGTTATGTGTAAATTGTGTTATTTAGTCACTTAATTATTTCAAGATGTATTAGGTTGAAGGGTATGAAATTGCCAATATTCAATCATTTTTTTACATACAAAAATGGCAATTTCATAGGGTCCAACTTAATAATGTGTGTGCCCTAGCAAGATTCACTTCCATTAGCATTTGTCTATGGGCCAGCATGTCTCTAAAGTCTCTGGCCTCATTCATTTTATCCTCCAATGGGCATTCTCAGAGCTGTCACAATGATGACATGAACCTTTCATTTGGAAGTGCTTTGTAAACTCTAACGTAACATAATGCTCAAGTTGTTAAAGCAAAGACTAATATAAACTATGGCTAGAGAAATCTTGCAGAGGAAAGCATTCATGGATTTCAATGGATCAGTGGATTTCATGGAACACATTCCGTGGATCTACCTGGAATCTCTGTAACCAAAGGGAGCAAAAGGCACTTTATAATGCATAAGCCAGCAAAAATTATAGAGAAAAGTTAGAAAAAAATAGGTATGTGCTTTCTGGATTTGACATTGTGGTCATTTTGAACATGTAAGGTCTCATGATGTTACAGTTTTTCCAAAGGCTTTCATGGACTTTCCTTCTTTGATGCTTCCATGGACAAAGTCAGCAGCCTGGCATGCGAGTTCTTTCACAACTAAGTCTTAATTTTCATTTCCAGCCTATTTCTGTCCACTCACCTTCTCAGGTAGCTACTATGTGTTAAACACAATGCTAAATTAATGAAAATGCAGTAGTGCTCAAAAGTTACAGTGCATCTATCATCATAAAACATCCAATGTAACAGACAAGGCAAGCAATTCCAATATAGTGAATAAAGGCTAAGGGACAGAGATTTGTGAGCACCTAGCTCAATTCAGGCTCAGGGAAGTGAAGACTGCTTCCCAGGATAATTGATTCCAAGTTTAGAGCCGACAACTGAATGGGTGTTAGGCAGGCATAGACAAAGGCCTGAAGTGGGAGCATGGAATACTCAAAGCTGAAGAGGTGGCAGCATGGGGGCATAGGGCAGAGTTGTAGATTTATAAAGAGGCACAAAGTGAGATGGAAACATTGAGGAGGTAGGAAAGAAACACAACTGTCCTTTGGGTCACACTAAGGATCTTAGACTTCATCCTAAGAGAAATGTCACTGAAATGATTGAAGTAACGAAGCAGCAGAATGACATAAAACTTTGCATTTTAGCAAGGAAACTTTGTCTCACTGGGGAGCAAGAACAGAGGAAAACAGTTCCTGGTAAGACAGGAGGCAGATAATAAAAGAAAGTGATTGTTTTTGCAATACACAGACACAAAATGTAGGACTGACCCAGCATGGTGGGAATGGGAATGGAGATGAGTTCTTCCGTTCTTTCAAAAGCATAGAATCAACAGTGTGACATGAGTCATTTTCTGTGGAGGGAGAGGGGCTCATCAAACAGGATTCCCAGGTTTCTACTCTGGGCAATGAAGTTTGCTGGTATCCATTTCTAAGGCTGACTGCATAAGAAGAGTAACAGAATTGGCATGAGTTGCAGAAGAGAGAATGGAGATTATGATTTAGTTTGGAATATTAAGTTTGAAGAGCTTATCTGTTACCCAGGAAGAGAGATTCAAGAAGCTGAGCAAATCCAGAGCTTGAGAAATATTTGAGGATGGAAGTTTGAATGGGAATGGAAGCCGTGAAAATAGATGAAATTGCCCAGAACAGAGGGCAGAGAGAGTCCAACTGAATGTTCAGAGCAGTCACTACTCTGGCATTTGAGGGATGCTAAAAGAAAAGGCGGGGAGTGGGGGGGTGGGGGAATGGTCACAAATTTGAGGAGAAAGAGCCAGAAAACTGAAGACAGAGCATTTTGTAGGGAAGAAGATAAAGCAGTGTTTCTCGAATGTGAAAACACTTTCAGAGTTGCTAAGAGATTTGCATTGATAAAACTGAGAAGTGCCATTAGTTTTACACTAAGGAAGGCACTGGTAACCTTAGAAAAGGCAGTACCAAAATCTCACAAATCATCACTAATGAACTTAGTCTTGTAACCACACACCACCTGTTCCCCAATAATCTATGGAAATAAAAAAGAAAAAAAAGTAAAAGAAAAGGCAGTGTAGGTGCAGAGGGCAGCAGCTGAAGATGCTAGCAGAAGATGGTAGTGGGGATTGGGAAAATTTTATATTTATGTTGGAAGACATGAGCATATTTAAATGTCAATGAAAAGTGTGAATACAGAGAGGAAGACTGAGCGTAAAGGAAAGAGAAGGCATTTGTCATAAGAATGAAGTTCCTGAAAAAGCATCAGGGGATAGAATTGAGAGCACAAGTACAGAGATTAGTTTTAGAAAGGAAGAAAGATTCTCATCTGTTTTAAGAGGAGGTTCAGAGAACAGGGCGTATGCAAATGCAAATAATGGGGTGTTTTTGATGAGTGAGGCTTGAAGACTCTTCTGTCTCATTGCTTCTATCCTCTTTGAGTTAGAAAATGAAGACAACCACTGAAAGTAAGGTCAAAGGTGGCAACTGTGTTGTAAAGAGTTTAATCTTAGACCCCAAAGAGGTCTGACATTTGCTCTTGGCCTTGGGTGGTAATCTTTAAACTTTTGGAATCTCATGCCTGGCAGAAATGTCTTTATTTGCCTAGGGCCTTGACCCACGTTAGATAGTCTAACAATATGATTTAGAGTAGGGACTGGCAATGCCAGAGAGACTGAAAATGTGAGCTAGGGTGGTGGGTTCTTTGGGTCATATGGTGTTAGTCTATCCTGTAGACTGAGATCAAACACATGAACAACGGAACAATCAGTCACACTGATGTGATAGGGGCCTGTTAAAGATTCTAGATTTGAGGTGAGCTTCCTTGGTTGGCAATATCTGTGTGTATGGTCACACATCGCTACTGGAAAAGTACCATGTCTCAGTTCCATGGGGAGAGGACAATGGAAGTTCCATGTCGTTTCTTTCTCAGCCCATGCCCTAAGCAATTCTTCCCTTGGCTGATTGTAATCTGTATCCTTTCCCCATGAGAACCACAACCATGAGTGTTACAGTTTCTGTGACTTCTGTGAGCAGCCCTCTAGTGAATTATTGAAGCTTGGGATTTCTCGGGAGCTCCTTGAACTTGGACTTGGTGTCAGAATTGAGACTGGTCTTGTGTGGACTGTGCTCCCTCAACCTGTAGAGGTGGCTAAAACTAGTGCAGCATCATTGAGCTTAGGAGAATAGAGAAGATGAGAAATAACTTCTGTCGAGAATGTGAGCGTGAACTGCAGAGGGGAATAGAAGAGGCTTGTTGGGCAGGCATCACTGAAGACCTGGGCACAGAGTGAGTGGGAGGAGGTAGCTGGGTGGCATGGCTCTGCAGCACCAGTGCAGACCTCTGCTCCTGTCTTTACTGGATTCCTCCTGCCTGCCCATCAACAGGGTCTTGGTATCCTGACTATTTCCCACACTTAGTATCCAGTCTCCTGTACATCGCTTTATCCCACTATTTTCCTTCAACTAATTTATTTGAAGACAGCCAGCCATAACCCACAGTGATTTCTGTTCCCTGAAAACAAGAACTCTAAAATGGTTTCTTTTTACAGCTATCATATCAAATTTTAAAAGTTTAAATTATAATATTTTTCCTCTTATTTCATTCCAGGCATGAGAGCCTTTGCTGCACATTTACCTGAACCTCTGCTGATGGGTCTCCCTGGGACACCGTATGGATATTTAGCAGTTTGCAATAGGCTTGCTGACTGTCCTCCTACTTTGAAAGTGTGCACTATTACACAAAAGCATTATAGCATTTATACAGTTTTATTTCCCCTTACCCCTTGTTACAGAACATCTGTGTCTTTCCCCACACCCTCAATCATGTATTATTCGTTACAGAAGTACTGTCTTTGCAGCAGCAACTAGTGAAGGAGTATTGGGAATTTTAGCGTGTTAAAATGACAATTTTTTTTTAGCTCTAGGTTATGATTTCCAAGTCATCTTAGGATTGCTGTTTTCCATTAGTCATATGCAGAAGTAACAATTCCTTAAAGTTAAGAAATCTTGGGACTCAAGTCAGGAACAAAGGAACAGGCTGTACTGTTGGCTTATAAAGAACATTTACTGGAATGCATTCTTCAATATACAAGTATGCAGAACCACTACAGATAGACAGCTGTGTGTCTAAACATTTGTGACAAACAGAACTCAGATGGGAATGTATTTCTTAAAGGAGAAAAAGGCATCAACATACATTCATTGCTTGGGCGTGAGAACAATACAAGCTTACAATATAGGTTGAGCAAAAGAGAGTCAGCTTGCGAAAAATGATGAGTTTTTTTTATCTCTATGAAATACTTTCTGCAGTTGTCAGCATAGCTTTCTTGCTGCCTTATAATCTTGCAGCCAGTACAACTTTTTGATCATGAAAAAAACTCAGATGGCTTTATAGCCAACTTACTGTTAATGACCCAAGATAGATCCTTACTCTGTGAAATCTCATTGTGAACCCTACTGACTAAGGCAGTAAGGAGGTTTGAGGACTGAATGAGAGTCAAATATAGTAACAATAAGAGACAAATGAAGAGAAACATTGAAATGAACCGTCTCAGAATTCTTGGGATAACTTTTTAAAGCAAAGTGATTTATTAAAAAAATTATGAGACTGGATAAATCCCTATTGGGTGAGTAGTTATGTAATGAATACATACATGAATACAAACACAGATGGTATCATGAGACAGAGACAACATATCAGAGGGCGATGATTTTAAAACTAGAAAACTTTCTTCCCCTCTGATGTCAATACATTAAATTATGTTAGAAATTGTGGTTTGCCTTAAAAAAAAAAACTCTAAAAGAGTATCTTTTCTCTGCCTAGAATGTCTATTACTACATTTTTTTTCCTTTTGAAACACTACATGTAATTAAGATCCAGTTCAATGCTTTGATGAATCCATATTTATAGTGTAGTTGTTATACTGGTCAATCTATATTTCCCTAAAACTATTAATAAATTGGTTACTTCTTAAAAGTAGGCCATGTCTTATTTGTCATTTCTCACAGGAGTCTTAGCTTAGCTATCAGATGGATAGTCCTAGATATTGAGGAAATGTTGAATTTAGAATGGAAGACACACATTACAATTCAATAACTGAGCCTATCCTAGAATAAAACAAATGAAACAATGTAGAAGCAGCTGTGTTAAATGTAAATAAATAATAGTCCACATGGACTAAGTATTAAATGTAAAAATAAACAATACAAACTAAAAAACACAGGTGAATATTAACATGCTCTTATTGTGAGGGAGGGCTTCCTAAGCATACCACCCAGGTGAATCTATAAATGAAAATATTAATTTGACTATATAAAATTGTGAAAGCTTTGTGATATAAAAATATGTTAAGTTATATAGCCAAAAGTACCTACATGGGATACCTTCTTTCACATACTAAAAATATGTAAGAAAGGTTTAATCCTTGTAATGTAAAAAGTTATTTCAGATCCATAATAATAAGTTCAAGCATCCCAATATAAAAATTGACAACATACATTTATTACCCTGTTTCCACGCTGCTGATAAAGACTTACCCAAGACTAGGCAATTTACAAAAGAAAGAGGTTTATTAGAAGTACAGTTCCGCATGGCTGGGGAGGCCTCACAATCATGGAGCAAGGTGAAAGGCACATCTCAGATGGTGGCAGACAAGAGAAGAGAGCTTGGGTAGGGAAACTCTCCTTTTTAAAATCATCAAGTCCACAAGGCCCTTTCCTTTTCTGATATAAACCAAAAATTAAGTCAACAATAGGATCGTCTATTCTTCCTACCATTTAATACTTTTTTTTGAGATCATGTCTTTAAGGAGTATGTTAGGAAGATTGCTTGAGCCCATGAGGTTGAGACTGCAGTGAGCTGTGATGGTACCACTGCACTCCAGCCTGGGTGACAGAGCGAGAGTCTGCCTTTCAAAAAATTTAATAACTATTAATCTTGTTTTGCATGTTTATAAGAATTTCCTTCCTTCCTTCCTTCCTTCCTTCCTTCCTTCCTTCCTTCCTTCCTTCCTTCTTTCCTTCCTTCCTTCCTTCCTTCCTTTCTTTCTCTCTCTCTCTCTTTCTTTCTTTCTTTCTTTCCTTCTTTCCTTCTTTCCTTCCTTCTTTCTTTCTTTCTTTCTTTCTTTCTTTCTTTCTTTCTTTCTTTCTTTCTTTCTTTCTTTCTCTCTCTCCTTCTTTCCGTCCTTCCTTCCTTCCTTCTTCTTTCTTTCTTTTCTTTTTTTGGTTGAGACAGGGTCTCACTCTGTTGCCCAGTTTGGAGCGCAGTGGCATGGCCAGGGCTCACTGCAAACTTGGACTATTAGGCTCAAGTGATCCTCCTGCCTGAGCCTCTTGAATAGCTAGGGCTCCAGGCCTGTGCCACCACACCTGGCCTTTAAAAGCATTTTTGAGCTAGGTAAGCTGGTCTGAATGCACTTCATTCAATTACGTATGCATTCATTCAATCAACAAACATTTATTGAGTTCCTACCCTCTATTAGATCATGTTGTAGACTCTGTGAACAAGAAAGGCAAAGCCTCTGCTTTTACGGAGCTAACATTAGAATGAAGAAAGACAGACAATAGCCAGGTTAACAGATAAACAAGGTAATTTTGGTGCAGGAAGAGAATAACTTAGGTAGTCTGCTTGGACATAAATAGGGTAGGCCAACTTTGGTTGATGTGCAGAGGTGGCCTCTCCAAGGTTGCATTTGGAAAAGAAAAAGCCAGCCAAGCAATTTCTACGAGAGTTCTGGTTCAGGCACAGAAAACAGCATATGCAGGAAAGGTCCCTAGACAGAAGACAGTTGGGCTGTTCTAGAAACAGCAGGAACATGAAATGCAGCTGTAGGATCATGAACAACAGGGGTGGAGTGTGAGAGGCATGGTTGGAAAGGTAGACACAAACTCGTTCAGGTAGACCCTTGACAGATATTTGAACTTTCAGGTTGTATTTCAAGGAGAGTGGAGAGGCATTCGAGGAGAGACACAATAGTTAGGTTTTGGCCAACAGGAGGCACTGGCAGAAGTCTAGAGAATGAAGGGGAAGCAGTGAGGGCACTTTTTCCTGCCCTCCTTACACTTGCTGAGCAGGGCATGACGATGACAGCAATCTGATCTGACAGCTCTTGCCCAGATACCCTCTTCTCCAGGTCAGCTGTCTCTGGATCCTAATCACACTGCTCCTGCCATTGTGCCTCCAGATCTGTGCATGGTACCAGATCTGTGCATGGTAACAGCTCCTATTCCTGTTGGCTCCTGGGTGATTCATCACTCCTTCTCTCAGACCAGTTCACTCCTTTGCAAAATGGCCTCCATGAGCGTCTGGTTGGTAATCTCTTTAAGTTGCCTGTTTTCTGCTGGAGAACTAGCTGATACAGTTTTAGAGTGGTGACAGGTCTATGAGATGAAAGGTATCACATGGGACCACATATCATTTGAAGGTCAAGTCCACAAGGCCCTTTCCTTGTCTGATATAAACCAAAAATTAAGTCAAAAATAGGATCATCTATTCTTCCTACCATTTAATACTTTTTTTGAGATCATGTCTTTAAGGAGTATGTTAGGAAATTCTGTTCCTTTAGAGAGCACTTTGCTGCCTCCCTCAAATCCTGGGATGGGACGAGTGTGCATTAGCTGATTGAGCCTGACTACAAACCACAACGTGGAATCACCACTCTATCAGCCCTAGCACAGACAGGTCTAATGGCCTAGAGACTCTTGAAAATAATTTCTACTACATTTAGCTTATGCCATACGTCTAAAAAAGAAGCCACAATTTTTACAAATGGCAAACATCATGTGTCCCTTTCTGAATTTTGCTAACTCTCTTGAAGGACGACAGGCAGCAGTTATTGTTCATTTGTTTTAAAGTTATTATTACTTCTTTTATAGTCACACACATTATTATTATTATTATTATTATTATTGTTATTATTATTATTATTTTTGAGACGGCGTCTCGCTCTGCCGCCCAGGCTGGAGTGCAGTGGCGCGATCTCGGCTCACTGCAAGCTGCGCCTCCCGGGTTCACACCATTCTCCTGCCTCAGCCTCCCGATAGCTGGGACTACAGGCGCCCGCCACCACGCCCGGCTAATTAACACACATTATTTTCTAGGTGTGCTCAAAATTTTTGGTAGTTACTCACTAATAAATATGAATTCTTGGCGAGAGAGCATTTACTCTATTTATAAATGAGTATTTCCCAGCATGAACTTGACTGCTACATCTTGTCAGACGCTATGGCAATGAAAGGATGGATTTTGAGACATTCTCTATTTTAAGGTTTGACGAATGATGTAGCTTCATTTTTGATACATTGACATTGCCTAGATCACAAAGGTAACCTACAAAAAGTGTAGTCTAAGAAAAGCAGAGCTAATTAAAGCCACAAACAGACCTACACATGAAAAAAGATTTGTCCTTCATTAAGACAGAAAATATCCTCTAAATTCAGCATAAGGACCATGTTTTCCCTATCCAGATGGCTAGTCTAAGCACAAGGGTCAAAATCAGGATGCTTTCACGTTTTCAGTTTTTGCTAATAAATAGATTTTTTTATTTCCCTATTTTTTATCTAAAGATATGCTCCCAAACTCCTGACTTATAACAGTGTCTTTTTCTCAGAAAACTGATGCTTCTTTTTTTTTTTTTTTTTTTTTTTTTTTTTTTTTTTTTTTTTTGAGACAGGGTCTCACTGTCGCTTAGGCTGGAGTGAAGTGGTGTGACCTCAGCTCCCTGCGTCCTCCGTCTCCTGAGTTCAAACTATTCTCCTGCCTCAGCATTCCGAGTGCTGGGATTACAGGCGCCACCACGCCCAGCTAATTTTTAATTTTTTGTTAGAGACAGTGTTTCACCATGTTGGCCAGGCTCGTCTAGAACTCCTGACCTCAGATGATCTGCCTGCCTTGGCCTCTCAAAATCCTGGGATTACAGGTGTGAGCCACCGTGCACAATCACAAAGCTGATTCTTGAATTTTAAGAATTAATTGTAAGCTTTATGAAGCTATTTTATACTTCTAATACTTTCTTCTCAGAATAGGAGATATTTTTTTTCTCTCTCTCTCCCCCCGACCCCCTATCTCTTCCTTCCCCTTGTCCGCTCTCTCTCACTGTCTCTGAATGATGCTAGCACCTTATTAATGTTTGGGAATTTCTTTAATGCACCACACACTCAAGGAACTTACTTCCTTTATAGAATATATAGACATGTCATTTACATTAAGGACATTTGATCCTGATTATTTTCCAGCCTTGTGATTGAGAGTAGAAATGCAGGACACTTTCTGTTTCAGAAGTTTGTCGTTGTTGCATTCATCCTGGCTCTTCAGTGTCAACGTATGATTTTACAGCAACGGGAAGGGTATTAGATCGCATTTGCCACCCTTTCATCTTACTTTTCCTTAAACTCTGTGCTGATTTTTACCTTCCACACATGCTAACATTTCTGTTATGAAAATGGTCCCAGTGAGTTTCAAAACCCCCAGGAAAACACAAATTCATTTAGAAATACTGTTTTGTATTTTTAGTAGCATGATGGTGAGGGTCTGTAATCCCAGCTACTCCAGAGGCTGAGGCAAGAGAATCACTTGAACCCAGGAGGCGGATGCTACAGTGAGCCAAGGTTGAGCCATTGCACTCTAGCCTGGGAAACAAGAGTGAAACTCCGTCTCAAAAAAAAAAAAAAAAAAAAAAAAAAGAAACATTTGTTTTTTTATTTTATATTGCCACTCCTTTTGTTACATTTTATGTACACATTAACACGTGCCTTTAAAATGTTTTTCAGACCTCCAAATCTAAAACATTATGCTATAGGGTAAAACAGACTTCTTTTATTGTTTGGAATACTGTGCTCATTTTTAAGTTATATAATGTACTTACCTGCATACTCTAAGAAAGATAAATGGTATACTTCTTTCAGGAAGCCTAACAAGATATATTCTTCAACAATCTTTGGCAAATTTGTCTTTTAATTCACTGTTTATATTCTTGAATTTTCTAATATAGCTCTTTGCTTTAAGTATTTATCTGCTTACATATACATGTATGTATATGAAAAGAACGATAGCTGTATCTTCCTCTCCATCTAGTTTGAAGTAGGAGTTGAGGTCTTTATTTAAACCATTTTAATTATGCATTCCATTTATTTATTGAGACAATTTGGGGAATACCTACTGGATAATATAAATAATATAAAATTTTATAAACTAGTAATAGGGTTGTAAAACTTATAAATTCTGTAAAAGAGTTAGGTTCTAAAAGTACAGGAGAAATATTTTCTATTCCCTGTGTTCCAAAGTAGAACTCACTCATTAAATATTTCTGCTGTTTCATAGTTCCTGAGTTTCATATGCTACGTGTCATTATCACAACATTCACACTGCATTATTTCAGTCTGGAGCAGTACTATTGAAATATCATGCAGTCTTGTCCCTGAAACAATGAGAAATTCATCATTACTCATGAAATCTATTCAATGAAAGTTTACAAAAAAAATGGTTAGCCTAGGATTCCCTGGAACATCTTTTGTTTAATGCATGCTAAGTTTTCACCACAGAATAAAAGTAACTTTTACATTTTGCAGGATTGATGAATGGCATGAATGTTTTCATGGCTATGACCATAAAATGAGCAAATTTGATTAATTTGATGCCAGTTACATAGAATGTGTGACAACTTTGCCTGCCTGTGGTGATATCCACCCATCATAGTGTTTGTAAAAACACAAATGCGAGATAAATTGATGGTGTAAATAGAATTGTAAGTACTTGGTCAACTTTTTTGAGAAAAGATAACTTCTGAGAAAAATTGCATATCTGTGACTAGATGTTCTTATCACTTCATCAAATGGACTGAATGTGCTTGTAGTGGTTCAAGTGACTCTACGTTCTAGAAAAGGGGAATTTAGGTTCTACCTCTGTGCCTCACCTGCCTTTTCTGTCTTCAGAGTCCTCTTCACATTGAGATTCTGTTCCACAACTCTAAAATCCTGAGTTTTCAGTATTTCAAACTGACCTCTAATATTAAGTGTATATAATATGTGTTATATAATACCATCAATTTTTAGTTACCTCTATCTATGATTATTAATAAGTCCTCAGGGGTCTGGATAAGTTCCACATTTAAAAAATACCTACTGTTTTTATGAAGCCTGATAATATTGAACTCATAAGTTGTTGGATTTCATCTCCTTATCCATTCACTGCTAATTGCCAGTAAAAATATTTTAAAGAAGGAGAAAACAGGGAGAAAATCCTTCAGCTATATACCGAGACTATGAGTGCTCGTTAAGAGATATTACTTGTTCATTAAGATAAAATTCCCCTTAAATAAAATGACATGTTTTCATGTAGAACAGAGGGTAAGGCACCAAACCCAAGATTGAAGTGGACATTCCTGGAAGTCCTAAGCATTTCTATGAGGACATTTCTAATACATGGACACTTAGAAATTGCTACTACCCCTGCCAAAAAAATTGCACGGGGAATTTCGTAGCTGTGGGAGAACTCAGGTTACTGAAACCACTATTTCAAATATAAACCTATTAACTAAACAGATTCTAACCCAATACATTTGTATGTTCCTAAATATTACACAATAAAGTTTGATAGTTAAAAGCTCAGGCTTCTTAGCATGTATTTGTAAAAATGCTGATTTATCATATGCATTTTACAAAGCTTAATATGCATTTACAAAGGTTATTCTTCATTTATTTGAATAATAGGCTAAAAAAGCCATAATTACAAAAATCAAAAATGTTGCTAAGATGTTTATCTTGTTATTGGGTGCAAAATTTTGCCTAACTTTGAGTTTTGATGGTGTGACTGTCTGTGTTTTAAAACTTTCCAGAAATGGTCCCTTTATATTCTAAACATTCTCATAGTTTTTCTTATATAACAAGAGCTTCTCTCCAGCTACTCTATCACCAATCACAATATAATTTGGACAGGTAACCATTTATTTCATTGATAAACCATATTTTCTTACAACTATTCAGGCATAAATGTCCCAAATTTGCTGAATATGTGATGTGAATAATTAATGAAAAAACAAGAGACATATTTTAACGATAGAAGAAACCAAAATAATTTTTAAAATACACTATCAATAGTTTATATTGGCGAAAACATTCAATGTCTGCTTGACTAAAGGCTAAGATTGGCTGCTATGTTCTTCTTAGAAATACACAATTGACTGCTATTGCTTTCTCTTTGGATAAGACCACTGTGCTTTTATTTACAGCAGGGAACTCGTGAAAGATGGAATCATTATTTTAATTAATTGAACAAGTACATGGTGATTGTCAATTCTGTGCCAGATGCTATACTATGCACTGGACATAGAGAAATTGAGGTAGCACAGTGCTAGGCATAGAAATGAGCCTAGGAGAAGACTTGCTCATGAGGTGAAGCTTAATGACAGCTGGGACTTACTTGGGTGGGAAAATTGTGGTGTGGGAAGCTTCCCATGTAAAGAACGGCATGAGTGTCTCTTGTATGTATTTACAGCCTCTGCGCTTACTTCAGCAATGCTTTTAGCATAATAGGTGACTGCAATTGTTTGCTGAGCAAAATTCAGTAACTATCTACATAACCTACTGTTGCTTGACCCTGGGCCTGCCATTTCAGTCAGTTGTCCTGGAAGTTTCCAAATGGGTATAAAGTGGGTTATTTTGTTTTATTTTATGTTATTTTTATTATACTTTAAGTCATAGGATACATGTGCAGAACGTGCAGGTTTGTTACATAGGTATACACATGCCATGGAAGTTTGCGGCACCCATCAACCTGTCATCTACATTAAGTATTTCTCCTAATGCTATCCCTCCCCTAGCCCCCCACTCCCTGACTGACCCCAGTGTGTGATGTTCCCCTCCCTGTGTCCAGTGTTCTCATTGCTCAACTCTAAAATGGGTAATTTTAAAAACGATATAGGCTAGTTAGAGAGATTTTATACCTTTATAATACAAGTCGTCATTATTAATTACATACTAAAATTAATGGTAAGTACAAGAAAACACCTTTCTTTACTCAACAAATAATTGATTGACCATAACGTATGCTTTTTAGAGCACAGCATAATTCATCCTTTATGAAGATGGCTGATTTTATGCATGAAAATACATGTATGGTTCTTTTTTTTTTTTTTTTTTTTGAGATGGAGTCTCACTCTATTGCCCAGGCTGGAGTGCAATGGCACAATCTCGGCTCACTGCAAACTCCGCCTCCCGGTTCAAGTGATTCTCCTGCCTCAGGCATGGTGGTGGGCGCCTGTAATCCCTTCCGAGTAGCTAGGATTACAGATGCTCACCACCACACCTGGCTAATTTTTGTATTTTTAGTAGAGACAAGGTTTCACCACATTGGCCTGGCTGGTCTCAAAATCCTGGTCTCAAGTGATCCACCTGCCTTGGCCTCCCATGTATGGTCCTTGACAGATGATTTTGGTTGAAAGAGCTCTGATTCTGGGCAGAGCTGGGGTAAAACAGGCTAAAAAAAGAGAGTTCTGATGTGAAATGCTCACTAAAATGGAAGTGTCAGGCTTTTCATGGGCAACCAGGGATTGAGAGAGAAAGAGGGACTAGGGCAGAGAAGTTCAAGGAGAAGAAAAGTATGGGGAGAATTAGGAGAGAGAAGAGGTCCAGGAAGTTGGCAAGAAACAAGAACCTAAAGGAAACTTGCCACAAGGAAATCCTTATGTTGAAGAGGCCCAGCATATGTTTTACACTTCTGGTTTTGCTGTGCTGTGCTACCCTTCAAACTGATTTCCCCTGTTACCCAAAACTTTTAGGAAAAATCTGATGCACAGTGACATCTTAAAGGAGCAGTGTCCACCCTGGGGAAACAGAGGCCCAGAGGAAGAGAAGAGCTGTAGGAACCAGCACCTACCTTTTGGAGTCAAAGGATACAGGAAAGCAATTTGTTATGCAGTCTAATTCAGACTTAGGTGCAGAACAGTCTTTCTTCAAATTATACTAAAATGAACTATTGAATATGGAGCAGAATAGCACCTGACCGCTCTCATGTAAGGATTCACAAATATATTTAATAAGAGACAAATCAATCACTACAATAATTATTATCAGATTTCAGAGATAAAGGCATTTTTAGGCTGGAGTAATCAGCTTTGTCTAAAAAAAGTGACTCCATTGGAGAAGGAAATTGAGGGACAGTAAGAATAAAGTGGGAGGAGGGGAGCATCTCAGATGGAAGTCAGGAAGTGATGCTGGTGTTTAGACTGAACTAGAAGCAACACGTTGGTGTTTATGGGCATGAGCATTGGAGTCAATAGACCTAAATTGGATCCCCACTCTGATACTACTTAGTTCAGTAATCTAGAGCATTTTTGCTAACATGTTTGTGTTATGAGGGGAATTAAGTGGTAACACTATGCAAACTAATTTCCTTGTTGCTTGGCACATAATCAGTTCTTATAAGGATAGTTATGTAGACTAGACAATGAACAGATGACTAATCATTATGCCTGAAGAAACTACAGGTGAACTCTATAGACTAAAATTTGGGTCTGTGCAGAGCTTGAGTAAAGAGCTACTCGGGAGGCTGAGGCAGGAGAATGGTGTGAACCCGGGAGGTGGAGCTTTTGGGGAGCCGAGATAGCACCACGGCACTCCAGCCTTGGGTGCCAGAGCGCGAGACTCAAAAAAAGCTTCACTTTAAGTGAGAATTCCTTGAGCAAGGGCAAAGATGACTGCAACATGACGATAGGGGAGACTTGTCCCAAGTCGGGGGCTCATGTTGCTGCTTGGAAATAAAATTTCATTGTGAACTTCGGACATCACCTCAAAACCAGCATTGGTGATTACATAAGCAAATGGGGCCAATTCGTATCAGCGCTGAAAGACTTTGGAATCAAACTGTGCAATTTATGGCCCAGCTATCTAAATGCGACTCAGAGTTGGGGAAAGAACATCTTTTTCTGGTCCTTAAAGTCAGAGTGAAGCTCTGGACCATAAAGGCTCATCCTGGCAGAGAGACGCCATGCCCTTGGGGGCTCCTTCTCATGGAGACACCCGAAGCTGAGACAGGGTTGCAGCGTTCTGTTGGGAAAGGAGGGCAGAACCAAACTTTGGGGCTTGCTTTGTGCCTTCAGAGACTTAATGGAGAAGAACCAGGAAGCAAGGAACAGTTAGAGACTATTAGAATGGTCTTTGTAAATACCTGTTCTGTGGATTATTCTCTTCTTTCCATCTTACTATCTAAAAGAAGGGTCTGTATAATAATGCAATCATTTGGAATTTACCAGTTCACCTTTTGTAAACAGTCTACGATTCTATTAAAGGCATATCCTCATCAGTCTGTGTAAAAAATTTGAGTAAATTTTAAGCTAATGTAAATTATTATTTTTATAGGAAGTGCCGTACATTCTCACCAGGATAAATAGACTTAGGAGAGGCACTAACCTTATTGTAGAGGAAAAGTCTATCAACAATCTGAATTATAAACAAAACACCCAAAAGTTATGGAAATAAACTGTCATGTTTTCACTAGAACTCATGGATGAAAGAAGGGAACGTAGCTACTCAAAAAATAATCAGTCAACACTTACAAACCAACTGCCTAGACAAGAAGATAAAAATAAATGTAAACACTCAACATTACCATACATATTTTATTTAAGAAATCACAACTTTCTTGTAAAGTGTTATCCCTCAATTTATTTTTTTCCACACATCTCCTTTGGTGATATCATAATACAGTAGTAACTGGTCAGTATCAAAAAATCTATACTGCATCTACATTAGTAACAGAGTTTGGTTCCATCTCTGAAGGTTAGAGTTCTTGAGCATATCTCTCAATATGAGCCCCAATCCACAAGCGAGATGGGTCACATCTTAGGGAAGGAAAGGAAAGGAGAAGGACTCTGAGCGTGTTGACCTCATCAGGACTCAGCCCAACGCCTGACACCTGTGCCCACGTTCACAGGCTGATTAATGGGCTGTCACTTCAGTTGTTGACTGGTGAATTATTTATACTTATACACCGCTAAATAATTTAGAGCTGATATCTTAAATTACAGCTGAGAGTGACTAGAGGAAGGTGGCCTTAAACTCCAACTGGAGATCAATGCCCTTGTTCTCAGGGAACTTTAGACCACAATTTTTGCTGCCTGTTCTCAGAAGAAAAGATGGAAAAGAAAATATATGTCAATTGGGTATAACATGTTAGAGAGGGTGAAATGCTTCAGCAATCAAAGAGAAAGTTGCCTTAAAAAACACAAACAAGATACAGCTCTGAAGGATACTAAAATTGTATAGAAAAAGAAAATATTTGGCTTCAAAATTTAATAATGAAATCTAGACCTACTGTAGGTTTTGAACTTTGCCTTAAAGAAGTTTACCATGCTCTCTTATCACAGAAGATCTGGATACATAGTGATTTTCACCTGTGGCTATTGCATTACATTTTGTTTTGTTTTTATAATGCAGCAAAGATGGCTTAGAAATAAAATATTCATTAACATAGCACAGGGTGGGATAGGGCAGTGATGTGATTGCATCTAGACATATTAAATTGAGAAGAGTAAAAGAAAGCGGGGGGAGGTTGAGAAGAAAAGTAAGAGTGTGAAGATTTTTAGCACCTTACTGATACCACAATGTGTTTTTGGAGTAGCCAAATAGATTGCGGAAAGTTATCTTAATAAGTGATTATTGTGTTTAATTTACTAAGACTGAATATGTATTATGCAAATAAGAGGTAAGCGTTTTAAGACAACATTAAAATATAATGAGGGATTTTCTATTAACTTAAATGGAGTTTGTGGAATGTGTATATGTGTGTGTGTGTTTGTGTTTAAAGAGCATATCAAAGAAAAATGGAACTATTATAAGCTCTACTTCCCCTGATCACTATCTTTTTATACACACTTCATATAAATTTCCTCCCACATTGGCGTTTACAAGCATATTCTTTTTTTAATACAGGGCAATATTAAATACTTGTTGATAGTGACTACTTAATAATTAACTTTGGTGGCTGCATTGATATGCTCTGACATTACTGATGGCTTGCCTTTCATCATAAGTTTCTTACAAAAAGGTCTTAACAATATTTGCCTAAAATCAGATAGGCCCAGGTCTCCTAAGGATGTCCTTTCCTTGATAAATGAAAAAAAGAACTTAACTAACCCTCTTTGCTTTTATGACATATATTGTATTATGATGGCAAACAGAGAAACAGTGTGGGTGAGTCTTGGGGATAGATAGGATGTGGAGTTTCTTCTGGGCTAGGGGCAGTCCTGCTCTTTCATGACTTTGAATAAGATACTCACTTGCCTCATTCTTTGTTTGAACCACCAATGCTCAGTATCTCCCTCTAGTTTCCAGAAGAGGTATTTGGCAATTTCTGTCTCCTGCAATATAATGGTGACTTTGCAAGGCTGTTCATGATTTCTCTTTTAATCTTCATAGCATTTTGAACAGATAGTCATTTTGACCAAGAATAGGGGCGGAATTCTGGAGTGAAAAAGTCCCAAACAAGTCAACCTCCTTTCCCTGGATTTCACGGAATTTCTTAGTGACACAATAGTATTCTGTTTCCAAAATTAGATATAATCATCTTCACCTTTGTAAAGGTTAATAGACACTTAAAACCAACAGCAAGTGATTGGATAGGCTTCCAAATGTGAGTTTCCAAGATCAAACAACCTGGCTTAGTGCTACTACAAATATCAAAATATTGAAATATTTACTCTTTTAATATGGTACTTGCCATGAACATGTACAACAAGAGGACCAGACAAGGAAGCCCCTTTGTGACCACAGACCTGAGACTCCTGTCCCCTCCCTAGAAACAAACAGAGAGATGGCAACACAACCACAGCAAGGCCTGGATCGGCCACACTCTCTGCTCCCAATGGGCAGTGGTGGGTACAGACCCTCTGTTCCCGTGAATTTGAGACTCCACTCCCCCACCAGGAAGCTTCAGGGCTGGCAGACATAGCTAAAATAAGCAGGCTGGCTTGAAAAGCCTCTTTGTCCAGGCAGGCCTGCTGCCTCCCCCACTGAGAGACCCTCAGAAATATGGCAGGAAGCTCCTTCTGCCCCCTTAGAAGGCACCATCAGGGAACAGTGGGAATCTGAGCAGTATCAGACAAACCAAGCAGACCAAAATAACACCATAAAGGCAGTAAAAATGAAATTGTCATTTGAACTCCATCCCACAAACGTGTGCTAAACATGACAGAATAATTAACTGTTAAATGATGTAAATAGGATCCAGAGAATCATAACATGATAGACAAAATGTACAAGATACAACTGAAAATCACTCATTATACCAAGGAACAAGAAAAATCATAATGTGAATGAGAAAACTCAATTATCTGATGTCAACCCTGTGATGAAATCAATGTTGGAATCATCTAACAAGGATCTTACAGCAGGCATTATAAAAATGCCTCAACCAGCAGTTTCAAATTCTCTGGAAACAAATTAAAAACAACCTGCAAAGAAACAAATGTTATGTAAAAGAACCAAATGAAAATTAGGGAACTGAAACTTAATAACACTGCTTCCCACCCCCACATACACAACACACACATACACACACAATCTCTCTGATGGGCCCAGTAGAAGTGTGGATATGACAGGGAATGGGAGCAGTTCACTCGAGGATAGATCAATAAAACTTACCCATCTTGAACAACAGGGAGAAAATAGACTGAAAAAAAAAGAGCAAGACTATTAATGGGCCACTTGGAATCTCATAATGAGAGGAGAAATAGAGTGAAGCTGAAAAAATATTTAAAGAAATATTCTTTGAAAATGTTCCAAATGTGATGAAAAACACAAGTCTACAGATTTACAAAAATGAGCAAATACCCAAAAGAACAAACTAAAAAAAAAGAAAACATCCACACAATGACACACCGTAATGAAATTGCTGAAAACTAAAGACAAAGAAAAATATATTAATGGTAGCTAAAGAGGATAACAAATTACCTGTAAAAACGTAAATGATCAGGATAGCAAACTTCTCTTCTAAAACAGTGAAAGGCAGGAGGAAATGTAGAATGTTCTACTGCAACAAATATGCCACTTTTTTCAAGTGCTCCCAGAATATTTACCAAGATAGACCATATCCCGGGTCATAAACAAACCTCAACAAATTTAAATGAATTGAAATCATATGGTGTGTTCTCTGACTATAATGGAATCAAACCAGAAATCAGAAACAGAGGGAAAAGGGGATAAGTTCTAGACACACAGAGATTAAATGATACATTCTAAATAACCTGTAGGTGAAATAGTAAATCCCTAAGGAATTAGAGATACATAGAATTGAATGAAAATAAAAACATATGATATCAAAATATGTAGAATGCTGCTGAGGCAGTGCTGAGAGAAAAATTACACGATTGTAATGATTAATTTTAGATGTTAATTTGCAAGGTGTTTGGAGTGAAATTCATATTCAAATTAATGAACATTGATTAAGCAGATTGCCATTCATAATTTGGGCAGGTCTTATTCAACTGACTAAAGGCCCAAATAGAACAAAAAGCCTGGCCTTCCCAAGCAAGAGGGAATTTCCTAGCAGTCTGCCTATAGAATTCATCAGTATGATCAACTCTTCTGGTCTCAAGCCTGCCAGTCCACCCTGCAAGTTTTGGTATTCCAAGACTCAATATTTGCACGAGCCATTTTAGTTTCCACCTCAACACTAGGTAAGAAGAACAAGATAAACACAAAGCAACAGGAAGACAATAATAAAAATCAAAATCAAATCAATAAAATGGAAAATAGGAAAACATAAAGAATAATCAACGAAATAAATTATTCTTTGAAAAATTTCATAAAATTGATAAACCCCTAAGATAGAAAAGTCACCAATATCATGAATGAAACAGGGGATATAATTACTATATATATTTAATTAATTATATATAGTTATATATGTGTGTGTACATATCACAGACACACACACATACATACATATTTATACATACACACACACACACACAGAGAAAGAGAGACAAATGTCATGCTTATTTAAAAATCCCAGCATAGTTTTATGTAGACATAGACAAGCTTATTCTAAAATTTATATGGGAAAGGACTGGCCCAAGAATAGCTAAAATGACTTTGACAAATGAGCATAAAGTACAAGAAATCCCTCTAGCTTATATCAAGGTAGATACAAGCTACCTTATTAGGTAGCTACAGTAATCAAGTGTAATATAGCACAGGGATAGACACATAGATTAGTGTAATCCAATAGACAACTAGAAAATGACCCACGCAAACATGTTCAACTGATTTTTTTGAGAAAACAATGCAAAAAAGAATTCAGTGGAGGAAGGAAAACTTGATTTCAACAAGGGTGCTGGATCAATTAGATGTCCATAGCAAAAAAATAAGCTTTGAGTTGAACCTCATATCTGATCTAAAAATGAACTCAAAATGGAACATGGATTAAAAGTGAATGTAAAACTGTAAAACTTTTAGGCAAAAACATAGAAGTAAATCTTTGAGATCTGGCACTTGGCAAAGCATTCTTGGACTTGACATCAAAAACACAATCCATGAAAGCAGCAAGTTATGAATTGAGTCTCATCAAAATTAAATGATTTTGCTGTGTCAAAGGCCCTGTGAAGAGGATGGAAAGGCAACCTACAAACTGGGAGAAAATATTGCACACCACGTAGCTGACATAAGACTTGTATCTAGAAAATATAAGACATTATAAAAAGTCAACAGAAAAAAAAAGCAGTCCTATTAGAAAATGAAATAGGAACACTTTTACACTGTTGGTGGGACTGTAAACTAGTTGACCCATTGTGGAAGTCCATGTGGCGATTCCTCAGGGATCTAGAACTGGAAATATCATTTGACTCAGCCATCCCATTACTGCATATATACCCAAAGGATTATAAATCACGCTGCTATAAAGACACATGCACACGTATGTTTATTGCAACACTATTCACAATAGCAAAGACTTGGAACCAACCCAAATGTCCAACAATGATAGACGGGATTAAGAAAATGTGGCACATATACACCATGGAATACTATGCAGCCATAAAAAATGATGAGTTCATGTCCTTTGTAGGGACGTGGATGAAGCTGGAAACCATCATTCTCAGCAAACTATTGCAAGGACAAAAAACCAAACACCACATGTTCTCACTCATAGGTGGGAATTGAACAATGAGAACACATGGACACAGGAAGGGGAACATCATACACCGGGGTCTGTTGTGGGGTGGGGGGAGGGGGGAGGGATAGCATTAGGAGATATACCTAATGCTAAATGATGAGTTAATGGGTGCAGCACACCAACATGGCACATGTATACATATGTAACAAACCTGCACATTGTGCACATGTATCCTAAAACTTAAAGCATAATAATAATAATAATAATAATAATAATAATTAAAAAAAAGAAAATGACCAAAGGGCATGAAGAGACATTTCACTAAGAGGAGGACAAACAAATGACAAGTAAGCGCATGAAAGGATGCCCAGGAATTAGCCATCACCAAATGCAAATGAAAATCACCATAGGATATCTCTACCTAACAATGATTAAAATACAGCCAACATAAATAGTTACAATATCAATTCCTAGTGAGGATGCAGTGAAACTGGATTATTCATACATTGTTCATGGGAAAGTAAATAATACAGCCACTCTGAAAACGATTTTGGCAATTTCTTGTAAAACTGAAGATGCAATTACCATATGACCCAACATTCGCACTCTAGGTCATTTAACCCAGAAAAAAATTTTAAAACGTATGTTTATGTCAAATACACATTTTTTTAGCAGCTTTATTTAGAATAGTTCCAAACTAGAAATAGTCCAGTTGTCTTTCAACAGATGAAGGGTATAGTATATCCACGTCACCGAATACCACTCAGTAACACAAAGGAAAGAACTATTTGCAACAATGTGGAGAAATGTTTGGGGTATTACGGTGCATGAAATAAACCAATCTCAAAAGCCAACCCTATACTGTGTTATAGCATTTATATAACAGTTTCGAAATGACAACATTTTAGAACCCCAAAGTGTAAGAGAGTGGAGACATAAACTGTCCCACCACAGTCTTGTTAGGTTTGGCAGGTAGGCATAGGTAGCAGAGGGAAGAGAAAGGAAAGTTCTGAAACTATCTAGCTGGTATCATCAGAAAATTAAGACACTCATTAATCACTTATAAGATTATGTTTCTTTGCCCACAAATAACTGCATTTTAAAAGAAAAGGTAGAGAATCCGACATTCATGGATGAATTAATTTATTTTAAAGGTAGATTTTAAAAATCAGTGGGAAAATTTTTATTGGAGAAGGTGGAGAAGCAAAATTGGAGATCATTAATTATGTAGTAATTGAGTAGATGAATGAACAAATGAAACTAGGTAACAATTCTTTATGTACCCACTACCATTGCTGTACATTTATTTATTTTCATAGTGCAAACTGTGTGAGAAGGTGTGTTCAACATAGTGAATGGCAGTGAAACTTATTTCAAGATTTTTACTTGAAACCTTTGAATATTTGAACTTAAGAGCATTTGTAAATAAACCATATACGCATTGGCCATTTGAAAATAACTAGGTGATTTTAAATCCTCTTTAAACAAAAGTATTTGATGAACATAAGTCAAACAGATGCATCAAGACCAACACGGCATACAAACCTATGATAAATCATCAGCACAAGGAATGCTGGCCATGACTGTCTTTGACGATTTACTAATATTTGAAAATATGAGACCTGGTATGATTTTAAACCTCGGCAATTCCTTTTGATCACTTGGATGGAATCATAGAATCATAGACATTTAAAACTATAGAGGTGGAGAAGGCATTGGAGGGAAAGTAACATTCTTAGGTATCTAGAGTAGAGCGCCAAGATCCTGGTCCTCCTGGCTTTGCTGGCTGGGAACAGTGCCAGCATGACAGCAGCAGCACTTTGTTAGGAAGGTGCTTCAAATTCCCACATTCTCCTTGCTGAGGTATTTTGCCAATGAAATAAGCACAACAGGACTTTGACATTAGGTGTTTTCCTCTGCTAGATCAACGGGGGTCTTCTTGCCTTTTGGAGCTTGTGTGCCCCCTCTGACCATGCAAAGCGAAATACATTGCCTTTCCCCGTCTATTCTTATTGAAGTGTTTATGGATACAATTTTTTTCTACAATTGATCCTACACTAAGAGATGGGGATCTTGACTCTACTGTTTTTCTACGCTCTCAGTTAAGAACAGGTACTGTGTAAACACTGGTTAAATGAATGCTGGCAGATTAACTTTATGTTAATTCCTTTCCCCACACATTTTGTTTTGCAAAAATGCAGAAGATACCAGGTCATTTTGTGTAAGAATGGGAAATCGTTTTGGATTAGATAATGTGTGTTATCTATTATTTAATGGCCTCTTTATAAAATTAATTCAATAATATGAAGATATGTATTATCTCTCAACACAATGAGGAATATTGAAGTAATAATACACACATCTTTTGGAAGCAGATGTGATAATGAAGAAAATGTCACAAAAATAATGATCTGATGAAAGTAAGTAAAATTGTAACTACTCAAAGATCATAATAGTATCTCTTTTTTATGGTTATTTTTCTAGAGCCATGCGCAGTGTGCAGCATATTGTTTGTTCTTGAGAACTAATGTTCTGGGGCGGTAAAAGGGCAATTATGGGACTCCTTAAAGGTGGTTACAAACATAACAAAAGAGTAAGGACAGATATTCCCTGTATATAAATGGAACATTTTAATGGGCCCATCTAATCCCATTTTTCGAAGGGAGCATCCTCCTACTCACAGAGCCATTTGAATTAGACAAATGCAAGTATTCCCTTCTCATTATGTGTGAGATTTTCCCTTACTTGAATTTTTGTGTAAAGCCTAATGGGGAAGACCAGGGCTTGGCAAACCTTTTCTGTAGAGAAGCACATCATAAATATTTCAGGCTTCCCGGGGGCATGAGTCACTCAACCCTGCCATTTTAACACAAAAGCAGACATAGAAAATGTGAAAAGGAATGCATATTTCTATGTTTCAATAAACCTTTATTCACAAAAACAGGCAGTGGGGCAGAATTGGTCCAATGGCTGTAGTTTGCCAACCACAGTGATAGATGACTAGTGTGATACTGTTTTGTTAAATATATGAAATTTGAATTAACCGTTTCTCTAAGTATTTTGAAAGTATATTTAATATTGTTCTTGTTTTCATAACTAGGTAGTGATGTTCATTACACATAAAATATATCCTAAATAAATAAAATTGCCTATCTGTGTAGTTTGCATCATTCATATATTGTTATTCAATAACGTAGGTAGACTGGTTAAGAAGGCTAAAATTAGTGGGGAAATTTGGGAGCTGTGGCTTTTATTACTAGCTAATTTTTTACTTTATTGTCTTTGGCAAATCACAGAATAGTTACACACTACAGTCTTGAAAACAGATGCAACACTATCCACATGGCCCCTGATCTCATGTTCTTATACTAGGTGCCTTTGCATTGCTTATGACTTTGAGGTCAAATTGGATTTTCAGGATATAAGAAAGTGGCCAGTAGAGGCCGGGTGCAGTGGCTCACACCTGTAATCCCAGCACTTTGAGAGGCCAAGGTGGTCAGATTGCGAGGTCAGGAGTTCAAGACTAGCCTGGCCAACTTGGTGAAACCCCATCTCTACTGAAAATACAAAAATTAGCTGAGTGTGGTGGTGGGCACCTGTAATCCCAGCTACTTGGGAGGCTGAGGCAGAAGAATTGCTTGAACCCAAGAGGTGGAGGTTGCAGTGAGCTGAGTTCGTGCCACTGCACCCCAGCCTGGGTGACAGAGCAAGTCTTGGGCATGGCGGGCAGGGTGGCAGGGGAAGAAAGTGGCCAGTAGAATGCTATAGATTTAAAAGTGCTGTATTTGTCAGGATTCTCCAAAGAAAGAGAAACAATAAGACATAGATATATAGAAGGAGATTTATTGTGGGGATTGGCTCATGAGATTATAGAGACCAAGAAATCCCACAATTTTTTTTTATAAGCTGGAGACTCCAGGAAGCTGGTAATGTAATTCTGTCTGAGTCTGAGGGTGTAAGAACTAGGGGAGCTTATTGTGTAAGTTTCAATTTAAAGTTGTAGGCCTGAGAAACTGAAGGACCGCTGGCATAAGTTCTGAAGTCTGAAGGCCTGGGAACCAAGAAATCCAATGTCCAAGGTCAGGAGAAGATGAATGTTCCAGTTCCAGAAGAGAGAAAAATAATTTGCCCTTCCTTCACCTTTTTGCTTTATTCAGTCCCTCAATGGATGGGATGATGGCTGCTCACATGGATGAGGGCAGACATTCTTTACTCAGTCTACTGATTAAAATGCTCATTTGTTCTGGAAACACCCTCACAGTTATACCCAGAAATGATACTTTATCAGCTCTCAGGGTATCTCTTAGCCCAGTTAAGTTGACACCTAAAATTAACCATCATGGTCCTGTAAACAGGAGGAGGTACTGTAGGTACTGAGACAGAAGAGACCTCAGTGAATGTCCAGTTGGATTAGTGTTGACCAGTAGAGAGTGTAGCTAAAACATACATTTCAGACTTCTGAGAGAAGAGGCAAAGCCAGCAGGAGAACAATTAAAGAGGAACAGGGAAATTATGAAGGAGAAATAGGATACACTCAGCTTAGTTATTCAGAATATAGTGGCTAATTTTCTAGGAGATGTTATGAAAAACTGGCCAAAAGTTTCAGATATTGGCAAACAAAGATAAGAGTCTGGATCAAATAGAGACAACCCCAAATCTCTGAGATACAAAAATAAAACAAAAAAAGAAAACATACATTGTCTTGTGCTCAGCTGCCTACCTCATCTCCCATGAGTGCAGAGTCTTCTGACCTCTTCACTTAGTCTCTGGTGCTATCTTTGATCCACTCCATTCTTCATAAAATGCCCTTCATAAAAGTTGCTAATTTACAGCCTCCAGCCATACAGATTGTCCTGCCGTTTTCCTCCTAGCTTTTAATTCTCCTATTGTGAAGCCTGCAGACACCATAGACCACTATTTATTTTGTATCCTTATCCATAACATCTTGGCTCCAAATTTAGGTCCCTAAGCTATCTAAATTGTTCTGCTAACCAAGTTAAATCCCAGAGCTTACAGCAGTTACAGGAAAAGTTTCCTATATCTCATCCTGGTGCTGTAATTGAAATTAAAGTAAATGATTCACACAGTGCACATTAATGTTGGCGCGGCTCCCTCTGCCTTCTTCCCAAATGACATTATGAGTTATGCCAAACTAAACTCATTTCCATTTTTGATATGGTTAACGAGTGGTAGATGAGGAGAATGCCATTGACAGAGTATAACTTGATTTCAGTCAGGCATTTAGGGCAAACAATGACTCTCAGACTTTTCTTTTGGACATGACAGGTAAATGTTAACAGCATAATACAAGAATATCTGAATAAAAATTGCCAAGACTTGATTAATTGCTTGGTTAGAAACAGAAAGAAGAATTCCATTTCTAGTTTTTTTCCTCAACATTCCCTCTTTGACCCAGTCTTGATCAATAATATTATCAACAGGGCAACCAAAGTTAACATTTGGATATTGACAGTAGTTTAATTTTTAGATGATAGAAAAACCTAAGATAAAGAGCTTATATTGGGTAAGAAAACTACATTTTGAAAGAGTCTTAGTGACATTATTCTCAACAACCAAAACAAAGTTTTATGTATGTTATGACTTAATAAAGGGAAGCTTATGCCACCATGAACGGCTACTTTTGAAGATTAGCGCCAAGGCATTTTTTAAACCATATGTATACATATCATGTGTGTATATATAAATATATAGTCCAGAGGAAAAAAGACTGGATGGAAACATACTATCATTTCAGATGCTGTCTCTGAATGATGGGATTAAGTTTTCTTTTTTACTTTCCAACATTTTCTAAAATTTAGGCAGTAATGGTGTTGCTTTCCAATAATAATTTTTAAAAAGACACAAGTAATGGATAAATTAAAAATCTGGTCAAAACCAACAAGTAAAATTGAGAAAGACTGAATGTAAAGCCCTGCATTTTCCTTCCAGAATCAACGTTGGCCCATAAAGTGGCCCCTGTCACAAAACCCACTTGGACACAGTGTCCCATACTTCCCCACTTACTCCACCTCTGGCTCTCACTTCTGGTTCCAATCTGACTGAAACCTCAACAGTGGTTGGTTCTGCGCTCCATACTGTAAGCCTCAAATGTGTCCATGAGTGCATGCCGCTGCTTATGTTCCCAAGAACAGAGTGAGTTTTTCAATATGTAGAACCTTGTAAAATCAGGACTAGCATCCTGTGTTTGTCATGTTCACCACCATCTTATTAAAGTGTCCAGTCTCTCATTTGGTGTTCAAGTTGGTTGATAATGCTTTTCAAAGCACAGACTTGACATACTGGTTGCAAAATTTTTATATTTCCATTTATTTCTGTATATCATCTCTCAGTGGTAAAATTTCAAAATTTTTCCTCAAAACAAGGAGAATTGTTGAAAGTATGGTAGCACGTTGAAAATAACATATAGGTTAACAATTGAGAAAAAATTGTCTTTTTTGTAAAAAGAGAGAAGTCATAATATTGAATTTTTACCGTTTAATGAGATATTTAAATTACATATAATCAAGAAGAAACCTATTATTTTAAATCACTTCAAGGCTCTGATATGAGGGGTGAAAAACACGATCCTTTGAAGATATTCCTGCAGCCTGCCTACCCTCCAGACTCGGTATCCTAATTTCAGCATTTCTTTCCCGCTCTTAACTGGAAAAGAATCTGCAGAGACCAGACAAAAGTAGAATGACTTCTCTGTTTTCCTTTCACGTGCAGGTAATTCATTGAAGGTCAGCTCTAATTAGGATTTCATTTTTATTAAGATCCCTCACCCAAATTCTCTGTAGGTAAATGCTGGTCAACAGCAGGTTCTTGGATCTGGTAGAAATGGAGGACAAGAGTTATCTTGGGCAGCCTATTTTTGGTTTCTTTTTTTTTTCCCTTTTATATCCAGAGTTCATTGAACACACGATATGCTGGATAGTATTTTAACCAAGAGCAGAATGCCTGGGACAGAGAATTGAGAACTTTCATCATTCAGTGACATCATACCAGTAATCAAGTGAGTCCTCCTTCTAACTTTTTTTTTTAAGTGAATGTGGTACAGTAAAGAGAGTATCTCTCTATGTTTAGAGAAAATATTTTTCTAGAATACAGAATGGATAATTTTTTTTATTTAGATACAAAGTTTTGAATTGTGCTCTGCTACCTTGGGTGCACCATTGAAAAAGTAGTTTTCGCTAAAATTTTTCTTTGTCATGTATAAATTCTGAGATTTCTGTGCTCAACTGCACTCTAATTAAAGACTAAACCTGGTGTGTTAAATTAGTACCTTGACTGGGTAGTAACTTGTTTCTAGTTCTTTCAGAACTAGAAATATGAGGGCCAAAAGAATTACTGTGGTACAGCTGACTAACAAGGAATTTACAAAACAAAACAAAAAAAGATGCCAATTGCTGACTGGAAGTGCTGTGCTAAAGTTATCCTGGGAGAATTAGGGTCAAGTCTTATGATGCCAGAGCTAGTTCCACTTTTTTTTTTTTTAATATGACTCTTTTATCCAGCAACAGTGAGTATTTTCTTCTCACTTTCCTAAATTCTAACCTAACCAACCTGGCGGTCCTGGGGAAAAAAAAAGGAAAAATAAATGTGGTCTGGTAAATTATTTGTACCTGTTTGCCAGACTGTCTTAGTCTAAGGTGTGTTGTATTATTTATTACAATGTATAAATATTTATTAAGCACACAGCATATCTTTTCTCCAAAGAAGAAAAAAAGTCAACAACAAACACACAAAACTCTAAACTCTTTTCTGAATACTACCAAACTGAAAATTCCAGGTAGATTACAGTTTGAAGCAGCAGCACACTGTTTTGAATGCTGCATGCCACAGACAAGCTCCCTTCTTGGTTCCACCCAGGGTGACTCTCATTTTTATTTCTGGTACAAGTGTGCTGAACACAGCACGTCTCTATGACCTAAGGAAAACTTCCCGGGGTCTCTGAATGGGAAGATATTTATTAGAATTTAAAAACCATAGCTTTTCAGAAATTCAACTCTGCTTATCCTTTGTTGTAATAACAGAAATCACAAATAATTATTGTAGTTATACCATTTAGAGTAAAAAAAACCTCATAATTTTTCCTATTAAGCATGTTTAACATAATGTATATTGGTTAAGAAGTCACCTTAAAATATTTAATTCAATATGCCCTTGGATTAATCTCACTCTTTTCCACAAAATCCATGTGAAGGAATTGTAATGTTTGGGTTGACAGATTAAATATTAAAATATTTCTAGTCATGTCATTGCTCATATTTCTGTTTTTCTCCTCATGGAGTCTGAAATAGTATCTAAACATCGGGTTCAGTTAAAATTTTATCTTGTTTTTAAGTTTCAGTACCTGTGAACTGTTAATATGCAGTTCTTTGTTACAGCTTTGTTGCTCTTCTTTGAGAATGCATCAGATAAGCATAAACAGACACACAAACACACACAAAGACACACGCACACACACACTCTTTCCTTAACATCATTTGAGTCTCAAGGACACTACGCTAGACTAATAAGGAAAATATCTCTCATATTATGCTAGATAAAAATTCAGGAGTGGAATTCATAAATTAAATACAGAGTAGTGTCTATAAAATTCCATAGAACTAGAGAATAACATCCTAACCAAAGCTAGACCGAAGCTCCATGAGGGTATGACCAATGCCTGTTTATTTTCAATGCTGTTCCACAGCTGCCCGGCACAGCAGTTAACATATGCATATTTGAAGAACAAATAAATGGATGACAAAACAAATGAATATGTTAGTATAGAAGTAAAAGAATGCTTTGCTAATGTTACCAATAAAATATTGGTAATTTGGAAAGTCCTTCTGATGCTAAACTGTGAAGAAAACATTCTAAAATTAACATGTGCTTCAAAATTTCAAAGTAACTTAGTTTTTATTACTGAAGCAATTCTACTCCAGTTGTTTTAGGACAACCAGAAAATACAGCATGCAAGAAGTAATAATCATCCAAACCTAAGAAATAAATATTGTTGAAATCTTGGAATGTCTCCTATCACATTTACTTCTGCAAGTCTGTGAAAATTTCAAAAAGTTATATTCTAATGCACATACTGGTTTTTGTAACTAGTTTTGTCCAGATAAAATACATTATGGGCACATTTCCATGTTCATAAATTTATCATTGACATCATTTTTAGTGGTGCCATATCATTGAATTTATGTTACTAACTTAATTTTTGAATCAGCTTTAAGTTAGTCATTATTATTATTATTTCTGATAAATATTCACCCCATGACCCACATTCTACTTTGGAGAATCATTCTGCTCCACATCTATCCAAGATTTAGTGTGGATGAAAAAAACAAGTTCTAGACCCTTTTTGCCTTGCTTGTGGTGCAACGTACTGCTTGCATCTGTTGCTCTGATTCGAAAATCTCATTAATGCCTGGAGCTTGAAAGGAGCTGGAGAGGAGACTGTGATCTTTATTTTTCCTAAAATCTCTGTTAAAGGGAAAATGTCATTTGTTTTAGTTTATTAAGATGTAAAACGGCTATAAAATGTAATGTGTAAATATACATCATTGACTAGTGGCTTAATTGTCTTCCCTTAAAGCATTTACTCAACGGTCCCACATTAAAATATATTCTTCAGTAATAGTCAGTCTCCTTGGGAATACATGAAACAGCACATTATGAAATAAGATACATTTTACATGTGTGTGACTATCTTTGCGAAGCAAGTCCTCCTTGTAAGTTGAGATATTAACTGCAATAATTATAACAAAAATAACATTATGGATATGTTCTGTTTTGTGTAAAAGCTGTCATTTTAACCAAAGGGAAAAAAACCTTTACATTAAGTTAAAATTCAGTAGGCCAATTTGATTTTGCATTGATTAATTCTCTTGTTCTTTTTAAGGCTGTTTTATTTTCCCATTAGAAAGTGTGATTTTACTCATAAGAGTTGTCTTGCAAATAAATATTTTAAAAAAATAAAGTAAATTCTCCACTCTACTTGATTACAAAGCTTATTTAGCTCAGAATAGTGTTGCAAATAGTCACTCACTCTTTGGACCTGGAAAAGTAATGATTTATGCCAAGCACAAGGCAGGAAATATACTTAATTTATTCATTGCACAACCTATACACCACCTCAGGGTGGGGTGGTAGGGAAGGCTGGAAAAACATTGTGAGCTAATAAATAATTTCTCCTTGTTTGGAAGCCTGTCACTATGGTGTACTGCTAGTAAAGCTTACAAATGATTTTCATTCTGGAGATGTTGATAAAAAAAGGAAAACATTGACCTGTATATTAAGCTCTGCCTATTTTTCTTTATAAAATTTCAATAGGAAAATGGATTATTAATTAGGCTTCCACCAGAAAATTGTGGACAATGAATCTACATAAAAATAGTCTAAAATTTCCATGATTTTTTCTTTTTCTCACATGTGAAAATTTGTTTTCTTGATTTCTGGACTGTCTTCATGTTAGTATTCTCTGCAAATGTCAACATTTGAATAAACTTCCCAGAACCTACTCCTAGACAGACGTCTACACGGTTGACATAATCCAGATAATTCATGCAAAAATACGCAAATAAAAAACTCTTCTTATTGCCTTTGTAGCATCCTTATTTCTTTTTTCTTGACCTGAATTACCCCCATATTAGATCTCTGTAGAGCACCAATTCAAAAATAAATATTAACCCAACACTTTATTTTGTGTTGTGTAGACTTGGCAATGTACAGCCAATAAAAGCTACGTTAGAGCATCTGAACACTCAATTTAACCCTGAAAATTTGCATTTATAATTGATGGTTATGTTTAGCTGATTAACAGTATAGAGAAACACTCTGAAGATTACCAGTGAATTCCACTTATTTTGTAAAATAAACCCTAAGTAAGACACTGGTTGAATTTCAATCTACTCGCGATGAGATGGATTATAAGGAATTTCATGTGTAGACTCCTAAATTAATTTTTCTAAAATAAGATAAACACCAAGAGGCAAAAAGTTAAAGAAATAAACTCAGCAAACATAATGACATAGTGAAAAGATTATTTGGTCATATTTAAACAGCTTGAGTGCTGTTGCTGAATGTCTTGAAGCTTTCAAAGGCAAGTAATTTAACATTACATAGATTTAATTAAAAAAAACAAAATGGACCCAAGGATGCTGTTGATGCTGAATGAATCTCAAAATATCAAACAAATTTAGCATTAAACAATTTAAGATTAAGAAAAACAAAAGGGCCCTCTGAGGAAATATTTTCCCTCAATGTTTGTGTCGTCTCACAATTTTAAAATAAAATCCCCAATGATAAAGGACTGTCTGCAATAAGATTTAGTGAAATACAGTAATCAATATTTTCATATTTATTTATTGCATTTAATTTCCATTTTAGATAGAAACAAAAATTTAAAATCCTTTTTCTTCATTGTTACTGAAAACTTTAGATTTTGTCATTGAAGTGAGAATGGGAAGACAAAAATAAAAAACACTTAATCATTCCCTTTAATTGAAGAAGCATTTCATTTGATCAAAAGTGATGAATGAAACTTTTGTTGTTGTTGTTGATAACTTTGTGAATTATCATAGATTTTGAGGGAAGAAAGAGGAAAAGTCTACCTACAGAAGAAGCAGTGTGTTGTAGTGAAATGGCTATTGATTACAATCACATCAAGGCCTTATCTAGACCTCCAACAAGCCACATCCAGTGTTTTTCATTTATTCAGTATACACTTATTAATCTTATAACAAGTACAATCCCGTGCAAGATGCTATGGACGATACAAAGGTGACTATGAATTTTATTTCTTTATAGTTCTCCTTTCTTCCAGAAAGAATTTTAGGTGGTACAAAGACATAAAACACAGCCATTATGGAAAATAATATGGAGGTTCGTAAAGAAATTAAAAATAATTTCCCTTTTGGGTATACACCAAAAGAAAACGGAGTTTCCAGCTGTAAAGATCTCTGCACTCCTGTATTCAATGCAGCATTATTCACAATAGCCAAGATATAAAATCAACCTAAGTGCCCATCATCAGAAGAATGAACAAATAAACTGTGGGGTGTGTGTGTGTGTGTGTGTGTGTGTGTAGTGTGTATGTGTGTGGAATATTATTCAGCCTTAAAAAAGAAGGAGATCTTGTAATTTGCCACAGTGTAGGTGACCTGGAGAAAATATGCTAAGTGAAATGAGCCAGACACAGAAAGAAAAATATTGCATAACTTTCTATATGGAATTTTTAAGTCAAATATACAGAGATAGGTAATAAATCCATGGTTTCCAGAGTTGAGAGTGGCTGGAGAAAATGAGAAGATATAGCTTAAAGGAAAAGTAACAGATATGTAGAATAAACATTCTAAAGCTCTAACATACAGCATAAGGACTGTCATTATTATTTAGAGTTACAGTGGACTGTATTCAGGATTTTTGCTAAATGAGTAGATTATAGCTGCTTTTGCCACAGAGGGGAAAATGGGCAACTCTGTGAGATGATGAATGTGTTCATTTGCTTCACTATAGTAATCATCTTACTGTATATATGCATCTCAAAACATCATTTTGTATACCTTAAATATACACAATAAAATTTATTAAAACAAATGAAAAGAAAAACCTCCAAGCAAAACAGAACCAAAACAATGCTTGAAATATATATATATTTATATATTTGCATCTTTTCCTCACCTTATTCACATAGGATTCCAATTCTCTTTAAAAACATGAGGGTCGGGGTTTTCGGCCCTAAGCAACCAGGGAGAGGGGTGCCTCCCTGGAGGTTGGCCGATGGGTTCTGATGTTCTTAAAACTGCAGCAGGCACTAATATGGGGCAGCATGGGCCAAAGTTGCAATAGCAGTGAGGGACGAATGTGCCTGCCCTAGGAGCCCTCACAGATTGGCTCTCAGCTCCAGTGACGCTGCCCGATTCCACACCCCAAAAGACTTTTAATCGCTGATGTAATGCTTAACTAATAGAAGTCTGGCTTTAGTCAACACACTACATCCTGAATGATTAGATTTTCAGAGAATTTGTTTCTTGTTGCTCTCTACAGCACCCACAACAATCAAGAACTCTTATTGACTCAACGTGACCTGATTGAAATTGAATAATGATGGAGTCAGTAGTTTGCTAATGGCTAGCAAAAATGACAGAGATTGTTATTTTATTATTATTACTATTATTTCAGCCGGTGCTTTTGTTTCTCTCTTCTTTGAAAAGAAAGAAAACATAATGGGCATGAAAGAAAAACAAATTAGGCATTTGAATGTGCCTCCATGTTATAACCTGTCTTTTTGAAAATATAAATTCTTCTCACAACAGCATGTCTATGACTCATGATAAACAAATTTTTATTTTGATTTAGCAAAATTGAACATCCCGAAAGCAGAGCAAAAACATATCACACGTAATGATTAGGTAGCAGTTCACAATTAACAAAAAGGTATGGGTGCAGGTAAGATGGCCTCAAGATATCTTGTATATATTTACTTATTTTAACAGTCCGAGCTAAGGCGAACACAGGCATGGAGAACTAAACTGACCCACCCCTCAGTAAGGTCATAGGTTCTCAGGAACATTCTAAATGAGTCTTTAGATATATGCACAAGCACATATATGGAAATCATCTTCTAAAATGACTGACTTTCTTTGACTCCCATAAATAAATAAGCATATATTTCCTATAGTCTTTCAGACATAGCCACAGGTCTTCCTTGCTTATATTTGCCCCACTCTAACTTTCTTTTGGTGTATTTTCAATATCATTTGTCACTTCTACTCATTTATTTCACTCCTATAGTCATATAATTTTATATATGTGCCTTACTGCTAAGAACATTCAACTAATTACACATTGAGTTATTTCCTCATTCCCTTATTTATGTTTCTGTTTCACAAAGGTCCACTAATGATATATTTCTTTTGTCTGAAACTAAAGCTAAATCACAACAAAGAACCGAAGATGATTGAAACGAATTCTGTGGTATTATATATTCCTAATCTCTGCCCAATACTAGTCCCCGTCTTTCTCCCCCTTTCCCCAGGCTTAGCATATTTGTCAGTTTCTTGACTTGAGATTGTGAGCCTACAGGGCAGATGTGATGTACTGTTCCGTCATTCTGCATGGCTCAGAGCATGATGTTGGTGCTTACAGAAATGTGAAACATAATACCAATAATAATTGCATGCAGTGCATTCAGAAAATGTTCATCAAATAACAGTTATGTAGTAGCCAGCTTTGTGTCTTCCTGAGAATACAGATGAGTGTGTGTGCTTGTGTCTGCATGTGAATGTGTGTGCAGGCATGTAAAGTATGTATCCAAATACACACACACACACATAGATTTAGGAAAAATGCATAAACCTTTTCTCCTTTGTTTCTATATGCTTTTCTACTGTCATACTGAACACAAAGTCTCTAATCATTTCTTATCCATTATCAACATGCTGTATATTTCAGCTGTGTGTCTAGCTTTGTGTAGACAGTATAGGAAAATGGTTTGTCTCAGCTCTGAATAGAGCTATCTTTCTCAACATTAGTAAAAATAATTTGATCTTAATATTCTATTTTTAGGTAACCAGATTAATTAAAGTAAAAGTAATCATGTTCTCATATAAATCACTTACTAATTAGTGAACAGTAGTGAACTATAAAATGTTTCATGACATTTAATTTTTATTTTTCTTATAAAATTCCTAATGTGTATCACATGAGACACAAATACAGGTCTTCATGTGGGTCTTTAAACTATCTATGGCTAGTAAAAACAAGATCATAATCATAGTAAAAACAAGATCATAATCAATTAGTGGTATGCCGGTACATGACTTGATAGAATGAAATACAGCTAGTTTACAAAACCTGGAATGCATTAATTAGGCCTTCATGATTTTGGAAGGAAAACCATGCAGGTGGCATTATCCATATTCTTTATAGAACTTCTGTTTTTAAGATGATCTGAGATAGATATTTTTGAGGTTTCTTGCTATCTCTATAACAGTGAAAAGAGAATTGGGGCATTTTTTGTTATTTTTTTAAATCTCTAAAAGGCAGGCCTGCCCTACTTTCACCTGAACGTAACTTCACATTTTATTATTACATTCAGAACAAAGGCTGCTGCACATGAAGTTTCAGTTGCTCCAACGAAAATCCATCTGATGCTGTATGGTTCTGTACTAAACACACCCTAATTTGGTCTGAAAAGAAAATTAAATCCAAGCAAGAATTCAGGAAGAAAAACAAAGAAACCAGGATTTCTTTTGTGTCCTCAAGGGAAAAAAATGTGGGGCATGTAGAATACTACAAAGCTTTAAGGTGCAAAATTTGGCTCCATCTTTTAAAAAATGTTTAATGAGGACCTACTATGCAGAAGACATGGTTCTGAGCATCCTACATGAATCATTTCACTTAATTATGCAACAGTCCTACAATGCAGATGCTATGTGTCCAAGAGTTACAATGGATGTAAGGATTTAAGGCTCAGAGAGGTTATGTAACACATTTTTCTCACCCAGTGACTAAGTGGTGTAACAAACATTCAGATTCAGGCAAGTCGAATTGCATCTGCACTTAACCATTTCAACTAATATTTACGTATTAATTTAGCCAATAAGAGAAACTTAGTATTTATGAATATTATAGACAAATCAAGGTTTCAAAATCCTAAATGTTTGTTGGATATTTGGGGTAAGATACATGGCCTCTTTCTCTTTTGCAGTAAAATGCTGGCTAGTAAATCTAGACTAGAGCAAGGTAAGAACGTTTAAATCCCTTCCTTTGGATTTTTAGCAGCTTTGGTAGAATAGTTCAAATGGCTGACTAAATTAAATTTGGGGAAAAATAGTGGATCAGTTGATTGGCAGACCTGTTTTCCATTGATACAGACAATTAAAAATTTATACAAAAAGATAAAGTTTATAATACTATGTTTCAGTTTCTGTTGTACTAACCACTAGTTGATTTTTCCTGTCTTTTTTTTTTTTTTGCTTTCATTTATAGACCATGGCCAGCAAGTATTCTGCTGTTTTGCTGTAAGTCAACAGCAACTGCAATTAGAAAGATATTACAAGTCTACAAATGGTAGTAGCATCCAAGACAAATCCTAGCCGAGCTGCAGATGGCAGCTTCTCTTCAGAAAGGCATTCTTCCTTTTCCCAATGCAGTAATTGTTGCATTTCCCGAGTGGAAGAACCTGAATTGTGGAAATAATGAAAGTTCCACCATAGTTTGAGCACATAAGAGAGAAAAATGGTTAGTAAAATTTGAAATGGTTTGAAAAATAATTGTCTGCCAAAATATAATTTGTTTCTCAGAATTAAAAAAATAAACTGCATCTATCTTTACCGTTCAAGCTCTTCCTTAGGCCTTTCCTATATCCTTGTTTGGCTTTCTGTATTTTAAATTTGATAGACTGTCCCTGAATGCGTCAAATTCACATAAAGTACAGCCAAAGCCACAAATGATAAAAAAAATCATTCAAAAGCAGGACATAACCCAAAATGAAAACAAGTTATATGAATGAGAGGGTTGCAACCTAAGTGTAATATTTGTTTCATTTGACATTTGATGAGCCAGTTCTTGGTGGGGGCTTAGTTTCATTTCCGTGGCCTCAGTCTGGGACTTTTGGAAAATGTATGTTCCAGGCTGGGCCTGGTGGCTCACACCTGTAATTGCAACACTTTGGGAGGCGGAGGCGGGTGGATCACTTGAGGTCAGGAGTTCAAGACTAGCCTGACCAATATGGTGAAACCCCATCGCTACTAAAAATACAAAAATTAACCAGGTGTGGTGGCATGTGTCTATAGTTTCAGCTTCTCAGGAGGCTGAGACATGAGAATTGCTTGAACCCTGGAGGCGGAGGTTGCAGTGAGCAGAGATCATGCCACTGCACTCCAGCCTGGGCAACAGAGTGAGAATTCGTCTCAAAAAAAAAAGTGTCCCACAAGTGAGTTTGGAACCTTGAGATCATTCTCATTCCATGGAAAGACAATATAATGAAAAGCACGTGGGGTCTACCAGATAAAACATAATAAGCCTTCACTGTGACCGTAGGTCATTTGTGTACAAGAGCATGTCAGCAGGGATCAAATGGAGCAACAGAGAGGTGGGGAGTCTCCATCTTCAGAGACAAATCTGGGCACACATTAAAAATATTTAATTTGTGTTAGGAACCTTTCCACTACTTATTCAGTACCTCAGGTGGTCACTGTCTTTATATTTCCCGCAAGTGTACTGCCCCTCAGGATAGACCGTCATCTAAGCATTAACTACCTATCAAAATCTGCCCAGCATTAAACTTAATAAATAAAAACTATTATAATGTTTGCATTCATAATGATAGCCATAAGAAATATTGACTGAGTTGTTTCTATGGAATATTCATTCTTCTGAAGGCTTCATAGCTATTTGCCTACTTATTTCTTACCATAATTTTATGAGATACATAGTTTTCTTGTACCATTTTATGGATAAGGGATAAAGCCTTCCAAGAAAAATGACAAATGAGAAAGAAAGTAATCAATAAATCAATTCACATAAAACTTTAAATGGCTGGTAACCTTCAGAAAGATATGGAATGAGAAATATCCTTGTTATCTCTGATGATTCCTAATTGACAAATTTTAACTCAATAGAAGAAACAAATTAGAAAAAAATCATGCAGTGGTTAGAGAAAAGGCATTTGAAAAAGTCAACATCCATATATGATAAAAACTTGGAGCAATAAAAAAATGCTAGAGAACCTCTTCAACTCAATAAAGAACATCTAACAAAATTGGCAGCTAATATTATAATTAATCATGAAAAACTGGGCACATTCTTCCAAGATTATGACCAAAGCAATGATGTCCTCTCTCACCACTTCTATTCAACAGTGTACTGGAAGTCCTAGTTGGCTTAATAAGATAGGAAATGAAATAAAACACATACAGATTGTGAAGGAAAAAATAATATTATGTTCATTAACAGATGACATAATCATCTCTATAGAAATTCCCAAATAATGGATTTAAAAACTTATAAAAGGAAAAGGCCTCCAAGAACTAATAAGCAAGTATAGTAAAGCGCAGGATACAAGGTTAATACACAAAAGTAAATTTTTTTCTGTATGCCAACAATGAATAGTTGGAGCTTGAACTTTTAAAAAATATTGTTTATGATAGGAAAAGAAGGAAAGGAAAGAAAGAAAGAAGAAAGAAAGAAAGGAGAGAGAGAGAGAGAAAGAAAGGAAGGAAGGCAGAAAAGCAGAGAAAGAAAGGAAGGAAAGAAGAGAAAGAAAGGAAGAAAGAGAAAGAAAGACCAACATAGGCATACATCTAACGAAACAGGTACAGGATCTATAATGCGCAAAACTACAAAATTCTGATAAAGGAAATTAAAGACCTAAATAAATTGTGATATACTGCATGTTCATGCATTGAAAAACTCAATAATATGTCAAAAATCAATAATATGGTGATACATCAGTCCTCCCCAACTTGATCTGCGGATTCAATACTGTCTCAATCAACATCCCAGCAGGCTATTTTATGGTTATCAACAAACCGATTGTACACTTTATGTAAAAAAGCCCAAAGATTTGGAACAGCCAATGTAATACTGAAGAATAACAGAGTAAGAGGACTCACAATAATCAATTTGAAGACATAATTAAAAGCTACAATAGTTAAGACAGTATGGTATTTGCAGAAAAACAGATACATAAACCAATGTGAAAGAACAGAAAGCCCAAAACGGACCCATGCAAATATTACCTGAACTTTGACAAACGAGAAAAAACATTTATTTTCATTAAATGTTGCTGAAACTTTTGGACGTTTATGGTTAAAAAAAAGAAACTAGACACAGACTTTACACTTTTCACAAAGTTAATTCAAAATGAACATATACTTAAATGGAAAATGCAAAATTATGAAACTTCTAGAAGAAAATATAGGAGAAAAATCTATGTGACCTTGGGTTTAATAGTGATATTTTACATACAACACACAAAACAAAATTCATGAAAATAAATTTGGTTTGACTACTTTATTAAAATTGAAAACCTGTATTCTGTGAAAGACAGTGTTAAAAGAATCAAGACAAGCAATCAGCTTTAAAATAATATTTTCAAAACATATATCTTATAAAGAACTTGAATGTTCTTTATGTATATATAACATACAAGGAAATGTAAGACTCAATATCTAAAATCACCAAACCAATTTTAAAAATAGGTAAGAGATCCGAGCAGACATCTTACCAAAGATATAAGATAGTAAATATACATATGTGATATGCTCAATATCAATGGTACTTAGAGAATTGCAAATAAAACAATGAAATAGCAATACACATTAAAATCGCTAAAATCCAAACACTGAAAATATCAAATGACAGCAAGGATATGGAGATCTTATTCTTTGCTGGTGGAAACGCAAAATGTATAGACACTTCAGAAGATAGTTTGGCAATTTCTTAGAAATCTAAACATAGTCTTTCCATATGATCCAGCAATTGGATTCCTAGGTATTTATCCAACTGATTTGAAAATATGTCCATACAAAAGCCTGCACATAAATGTTTATATCATCTTTATTCATAATCACCAAAAACTGGAAGCAACCAATATTTTCTTCTATAGGTGAATGAGTAAACAAAACGTAGTACATACACATAATGGAATATTTGTTATTTAGAAATAAAAGGAAATGAGCTTTCAATTCATAAAAAGATGTAGATAAATCTTAAATACACATTGCTAAGTGAAAGGAGCTAGGCTGTAAATGTTATATATTGTATATTACATGACATCTGAGAGAGACAAAACATTAGAGATGGTTAACAGATTAGTGGTTTCCAGGATGGTATGGAGAGTGACAAGAGAGTCTAATCATGTTATGAATGTGGGAAAGAATCTCCCTGAAGGCGGTGGGGAAAATGGCATTAACCTAAGTAACTTTGGAGTGAGTGAAATTTATTAGATTAAATGGAAAAGGAACTGTATGTGGTTGTTATACTCTTGTTGATAAAGTGTTTTACCCATGGACATATGGGTTAACAATTCTGATACCATTGTGCACGTATACTGGAATTGAGCAATTACGCAAGTGAATGAACAATCCTGGGAACCATGGTTTTCACTATCGGAGTAGGAAGATTCAGAAAACAAGAAAGTAATCCAGTTTGCCTATTACCACCCCAACCTTGTCCCCACCCTGCCATAGGGCAGGACATTCTAAGCTATTTCTGAAATTTATGGTTTTTTAAATCACTTTTAAAATTGTCTATTTCTAAACCTCTAAACATTCTTCTTTCCCTTATTGTAATCATCATTATGTAATAAATTAGTAATACATAAGTTTAATCCTAGCAACCACCGTGTTCTAAGCACTTGGTAAATATTATCTCACTTTGTTTTTATAACAACCCCATGAGGAAAACCGTCTTCTAATTCTCAAGATGACAATAATGAGGATTAGCAATCAGAATCTGACCACCGTATCACAGCTAACTTAGTCATTCCTGAAGCTGACAACTATTTTTGAGCAACTGCCAGATGCCAGTCCTTGTGGAGTCACCAGGTGTATGGTGATGAGCACATTTTCAGGGACCATGTTCCAAGAAAACCTACAGTCTCTATTGAATAACAAATGCTATGCAAGGAAACATACTTATGTGCAAATTAAGTGTCAATTTATAAAGGAAATGAACCAAGGGAGAGTATTTATTAGTTACATTGACAAAGTAGGCTCTTTAAGGAACTCACATGTAAATGGGGGTACAAAGGATATTAAAATCTCATAGGCCATGAGAGTGGAGGGAGATATGAAAATATGTTCCTAGCAGAGAAAACAGACTATGTGACGATGCCAAGACAAAATCTCTCTTGTTATTGTAGAAACTACTAAGAATTACTATCTGGAAGAGCAGGTTTACTATGATAGGATTATCACACTCCATAGTTCTTGCTTTCACTCAAACTGGAACACTACAGAATCTCTTCTATAAACATTTTCTCCTAAATATAAAAGGTGCTTACTGTGGAAAATCAACAAAAGTCAGAAAACATTAGAAGAAAGCAACAATAATCAGTAATCCCATTTTATACAAAAGCCAAATATTTTAGTTTCCAGTCTTCTAGTAGTTTTTCTCTATCTGTGTTTTTTGCTTACAAAACATTGAGACAAAACTATATACTTAAAAAATAATAGGCCGGGTGCAGAGGCTCATGCCTGTGATCCCAGCACTTTGGGATGCTGAGGCAGGTGGATCACGATGTCAAGAGATCGAGACTATCCTGGCCAACATGGTGAAACTCCTTCTCTACTAAAAATACAAAAATTAGCTGGGCGTGGTGGCACATGACTGTAGTCTCAGCTACTTTGGAGGCTGAGGCAGGAGAATTGCTTGAACCTGGGAGGTGGAGGTTGCAGTGAGCTGAGATTGTGCCACTGCACTCCATCCTGGTGACAGAGCAAGACTCTCTCTCTCTCAAAAATAATAATAATAATAATAATAATAATAATAATAATAATAATAATAGATATTTAGGAGTATCAATTCATTATAATAATTTTCCATGTTTTAAATACTGTGCAGTGACATTGTTTAAATGCTACAACTTGCAAGCCAACTTACAAGTATGCTATACTTTAAAAAAATACCTTCTTGCTGGTAATTTGTATGGTTTTCTTAATTTTATGTTATTACATAAATTTTGGGTGAATATTTATAAATAATATTTTGTTTCTATTTCTAGTAAATTTCTCAGAATAAATTATTAAAAGTGGAAATACTCTGCCGAGCAGAATAAGCATTTTTAAGACTGCTGATATGTATTGCTGAGTTGCCCTACCAAAGGCTTTTTATTAATTAACATTTACATCAGAACTATATGACAAGCCTTGCTTCCTTATACTCTAGGCCACCTGAAACAGTTTTAAAGTTCTTGTATTACTTTTTTTTTTTTTGGATAGGCAAAATGTAGATATTGTAGCTTTATTTTGCATGCCCTTTGACTTCTTCATTTGTGAATTGTTATTCATATTCTGTGACCCTACTCCTATGGGAAATAAATTAATCAATTATTCCAGTGGTAGTTATTAACTCTTTCTGTCTATGTTAATTTAAACTATGACTAAGTTGAATACATTCATTCATCATGTTTCTGAACTTTCTCTTGCACTTATTTATCTTTGTTCTACTTCCTCTACTACCACACTGTTTAACTTATTGTAGCTTTATAACATACTTTAGTAGCTGATACTGCTAAACCCTCATATAATTCTTCTATTTCAAACTTTTATTTGCTTTTTTATCTTAATTTACTTTTTGAAATTTTTTGGTTAATCTTAAAATAATCCACTATTTTTGTTGTTATTGAAATTTTATTGTACTTATATATTTAACTTAGAAATAATTGTATTTGTAAGTTTAATTTTGTACACTTTCAATTTTATACAAGATTTTTTGATTGACACCTCCATGTTTTCAAGACTTCTTGATGTCCTGACAATATTTTTAGTGTTCTTCCTTTAAGACTTAATTATTTGTTACTAAATGTGCTTGTGAATGAATGTGATTTTCCCTTCCCCAAAGCTGTACATGTTTTTATCACTAGTTCTATAAATCAGTTTTTTGATTTTGTATATTTAGTGTCAACTCCATCTCAGTAAAAATATTAACTGATTGTACAGTTTCTACTTGATTTACTTAAGCACTCTTGGTAATATCTATTAAATACAGATAATCAAAAAATTTTATTTCTCTCTTTTATTATATAGAACACTTATTTACTTTTATTGAGTTATTGCATTGTCTATAGGTTACCCCAAAAATTTAAATAACAATTGTAGGCACCTATGCCTTGCTTCTTTCTTTGTCAACAAAAACAATAAGACTTGACATTTATCACACACTTATTTTGTGCCCAGCACTGCCCTGAGCCCCTCTTTCTTTAGTCTTGATATATTGGAAACTACTTTTTTATTTTATTTATTTTTTATTTTTTTAAATTTATTTTTATTTATTTATTAATTTTTTTTGAGACAGAATCTCGCTCTGTCGCCAGGCTGGAGTACAGTGGTGCTATCTCGGCTCACTGCAGCCTCCACCTCCCAGATTCAAGTGATTCTCCTGCCTCAACCTCCCAAGTAGCTGAGACTACAGGCATGTGCGACCATGCCCGGCTAATCTTTGTATTTTTAGTAGAGATGGGGTTTCACCATGTTAGCCAGGATGGTCTCAATCTCTTGACCTTGCGATCCACCCGCCTAAGCCTCCAAAGTGTTAGGATTGCAGGCGTGAGCCACCACGTCCGGCTGCAACTACTTTTATTTCCATCTTTATGAAAGAGACACTAAGGCACAGAGAAGTTTAGTAAATTGCTCAAGTTCATGTGGAGAGTTAGTGATAGAGTTAGAAACATGATTCCAGAAAGTTAGATTCTAGAGTTCAGATCCTTCCCAGTGGATCTTCCCTGTCGTGGTCAAAGGAGTGATGCTGAGTAATAGGGAAAAAAAAAAAAAAAAAAAAAAAAAAAAAAAAGAGTATGTAGTGAAAGAAAAGGGTGTGAAAAACATATATTTTGTGTCTCTAACCCCAGAATTTTCTTTATAGAGTTTCATTAGTCATAAAGCTCTATTCTCCTGAGATACAACTTCGTAAGAACAATTCTGTTTTCAGGTAACATCTTCCCACTTAGCTATTTAAAACACTTAGAAATGTCATTTTAATACTACAGTGTATGGAAAAAATAGTATATTCGCCTCTTCCTTCCAGTATTCTAATTTGCAATGGTCACAGATTTTGATCCCATGAAAAGCATTTTAGCTTGTGACCTGCCAAGTGAAGCCATAGGTGGAAACTGAAAAATGGAGAAGAGAAAGGTGTAAGTTCAAAGGGGCCACACCAGTCTTTGGCCAAAACCTGCAGACTCTTTCAATCACTTTTGAATAAACTCCCCATCCTCTTGGATTTATGACTCGCTGGACTTCTCACAAAGGGCCAATGGAAAGAACTGAGTGAATAATGATGATGATTAATTATGCACAGTGATTCATTTCACTCTATACCTAGGATCATGAAACTTGGGTCCACTTTAATAGGAACTTTATGCCCAGGAATCAAATAGTCCACATGAAGTCTGGGAATGTTTCTTTCTATCTGAGTAAGAAGTTAGCATATGCAATATCATTAGGGAGACAGATCTAAGGGAGGAAAAAAAAAGGTCTGAATATGTAACCAAAAAGTATTGGTATAACCTTAATGTTTTAGTGTGTTTAGCTTGCACACTGTCAATATATTCTAATTAATGGAAGTGGAGAGAGAGAGCATGGAAAGACAATTACATTGAGAGAGGTGTGGAGAGAAAGAGAAAAACCCCTTTGCTCCCTCTGGTTACTGAAAAAAAAAAAAAAAAAAGCTTCCAAGCTGATCGCCATCACTCTATCATTCAAAAGTGTTACATTAATCATTAACTTTGGTTGCAGTTTCTCTGGGACTCCAAGTTAGCCTTCCAAACCACGTCCCAGAAGTCCTAACTGGAGGACCTTTATACATTTCCCTCCCCTGCCGGTTTTTTTGCTGCACTTATTCCAATAAGCATGCTCAAAAGCATGGTCGCTAAATACTGATTTGCCCATTCAGTAATTCTTAGAGCTGTCCAGGCCTTTGAGACAGCTGTCCCCTCCCAGCTTGAGAATGAGGCCCTCTGGAAGAAGCAGGGAGGGAGACTGGCTTATTAGACAGAAATTGACAGACATAGAATGAAGGGCATGAGGGACCCCTCAGAAACTCATGTGGACCATTGTGGAAGGATTAGCGGAGGAGAACACACTTCAGGAGGCCTGTGGGCCTATCTCCACAAAAAGCAGAGAACAGGAGGGCCGTGGGAGGTGGGGTGAAGAGAAGTCCACACTTTTAGTTAATATATTTTATTAGACCTGATTTGGCATTCAGAGTCTTTTCTCAATATTTTGTGTCTATTTCCGTTCAACTCTTTAATATTTATCCCATTCAGGGCATTATATACTCTATGATGAGTTGGCATGGGGAATGTTCAATCTGCAGTAATCTGTATGCATTTATATTGCGAGCTGCTCCCTAATTGGTTTTCATCCAAGTAATCCCACAGAGAATAAGGTTACGTGCTGAAAAGGGCTGAGGTGAGAGAGTGGGTAAAAGGGGACTGGGAACTCTTTTCCTGGCCTTATTAGAATGCTGTGAGCATCTGCATTAAGGAGAAAAAGATGTCCATATTTCTTGGGTTCTCCTACGTCATGAATAAGCATATAGTACACCCCATAGCACACCTAATAAGCCAGAGAGACAAAATAATTTGGGGGCAACTCCACCCATTTGTAGATGATACAACGGCTGGTATAACATAGATAGAATATTAGGTTCAAAAGAGGACACATAAACATAAGTAATTGGAAAATTAATTACAATTGAGAAAAAAATCAGCATTTTGTCATAGTTCCATAAGCCTGTAATTTTGGAAGGCATAAGCTTCAAGCAGGCATTTTCATACGTGTTTAAAAACAAGGGCAACTAAAATTAACCATACTTCTGATTGTGTCTTTTTATTATTGTTTTTATCTTCCATGAGTCTCACAGATATTTTTATTCATCTTCAGCAACACATCTAGTGTGGGAGGGCATGTAGTGCACATGTGTGTATTTGTCTGAGTATGGTCAGTCCCACTGTAAATGGGAATGAAGCTTTGTAAGACTGTGAATATGTTTCACTAATATGATTTCGAGGTGAAAATATTGAGACATTACCTTAAAGTTTTAAAATATGTGATGAGAATTTACCTCTCTGAAAGAAATATTACATTTTGATTTGTATAAATATTGCAATTGTCTTTACTCCCTGAAAATAGTGTCCATTTTTCACTTGCTATCCTTAGCTGGGCTGGTGCCTTGATTAGGATAATTTGTTTCGAGTGCACTACGGTATAGATAACAGATTGCATAAGAAGACTGGCGCTTCTATATTTTCTACTATAAAATGAGAATACCATGCTTGGTCATCATGCTTGTTTTAAAAGTAATTATCGTTTTCCAAGTCCAATTCACTCTCAGAAAAGGAATCCAGAATTAGTCTTTCTAAAACAGAAAAAGAGACAGTGGTGTAATTGTTCTTCCTCCTGGGAAATATGCTTTTCCTTAACTACATAAAGCAACACAAAAACTTCTATAAATAATTACAGTAACAACATGTTATGCCAAGTAAATAAAAAAAACACGCTGTATATTTAGAATTAAGGAATGTTAAAACAACACTTTTAAAAACTCTGCATCAGAACACAAAATGAAACCACCCAAAGAAGTTGTAGTAATGTAAGTAGGTGTAACTCTTTGTGAAATCTCACTTTGAATTATCTTATTCTCTTGCTTATATGTCAAGTGACTAATTTTATAAATGCTTAAATAGAAAAGTCATATTAAAAAAAGAAAGAATATTTTTCTACCAAGAATCTCATAGGCTCAAAGGCCGTTTAACTTAGCTCAGTCATCTAGTTTATTTTGCATTAGAGGAACTTCTCATTTAATTTACCAGTCCATAATAGGTAACTTTTTCAATATGGAGCTAAAGGTCACTATTATATGTAAGGAAAATTAAGCCGATGTTCTTGGTTGCCTTACAGTTCTCCTAGTTCAACTACTCCAATAAATGAACATGTACAACAAGCCGAAGGGCTTTTTATTACAAATTTAATTCATTTCTCTAGACAACTGTGAAATTTGCCATTGACATTAGTCATTACCCCAAGGCGAACTAAAAGATGATCTCAGTTAATAAATGATCCTTAACAAGGAACGCTCCTATCTCCTGTGATATTGGCACAGGCACATTTTATTAATGCAGGGCTTGCTTCCTGCCAGAACACCAGCATTCACGACTATTTGGTGTGCTTGTTTCCTCTTCCTGCTCCTGATATTAATAATTATGCAACGGGATAATTAGCAACACAAAGAGACAGTACTATGAGCTTGAAGCTAGATTTTCAGCACGTTAACCTTCTGGGAAATAAGAACAGAAGCAAAGAGTCTAGCCAAATAACCAATGCAGGTTGATTTCACAGTGTGTAAAAGGCTAATTATCTGTGAAAAGTCTGACCTCAAGTAACAAAATTACAGAAATGTGCAGGCATTTTATTTTAAATAAAACTCAGAGACACTGCTTCCGATTCTAAAGAAATCTGATTAGCAAATGTATGAAAGAAGAGATTTGAAACTTCAACAAAAATAAGCTCTGAAGGAAATTGATAATATCTGGAAATAAATGTTAACGATCAACTCAGACACCTGAGAATGTACAGTAAAAAATAAACTTTTACTTTCTTTCCCTATCCCCAACACACACACACATTACAATGAAGAAAAAAAAAAAGGAAAAAAAAAGATAAAACAACACGCACACACTCAGTGTGTGACAGAAGTAGGTTAAGTGTATTTTGTTTACTGGAGACAGGCTACAATAAAAAGCAGAAAATATTACTACTTCTTTACAGATACCATATGTAATTCATTCTGATATAGGAATATTTATCCACTAGCAGTAATAACAAACCACAATTTTTGCCATGAAAAAAATAAATTGTATTTGCAAAAAGCAAACACATTACAGAGTGTGTAAAAATGCAATATTCCCATTTTCTAGTCAGAGTTCCAATTTATTGAAGTAACAGAGCAGAAAATGCACTGACAGCTGTTACATTTTATTGCGAATTAGTATATACATTTTATATCCAGTGAGCAAATGCATGATACATTGTATTCCAGTAATTGCCACTGGCTTTCCAAATGGAAACTGAATGATCTTAGTGCAATTACACTCAGGAGAGTACATAGAACAACCTCTAGTTCTACATTATAGTGCTTTAACAATACTAATATTAAGTATATTTTATTTTTTTAAATGAAAGATTAAAAAGGTCAAGTTGGATTTTAAAAATCAACAAAAATAATGCTCACATGGTATATATGCTACCTCATAAATCCTGGATGACTATTTTTTATTTAAGTTACCCGCATTAGGATATTGTACTTTGGAATGATCAGGAAGGTTAAATAAAGTTTCTCTCCTCTGCCCCCTCTCTCTTTGTTTACTATATCAATATTTTACTATCTGTGATGTCTCTTTCTCTATTCCCCTTTTAGCAATGGAGTGAAGGGATTTAAAGTGATGGGAAGAGGGGGCAGGTGTTAGAATACTTTAGAAAATGAGCTATACGCTGAGTTTCCACTTTACCCTGAACAGCCAAATCATCTTTGATTCCCTCCCTCATCCTTCCCCTATAGCTACTTTTCCTAACTTGTATGTGCATTAGCTATAGGCCTAAGGAGAGAGCCATTTATTTTCATAAGGGTTAACTCTGATTTCATAGATCATCTTGCTAATGCTTAAGACTACGGGTTAACAGGTAACCACATTCTAGCATTCTAACTACCTTCCCAGTCATTTCAAATTTATTAGAAGCAAATTTCTTGCATACTTTAAGAAGCCTATTTTTTTTTCCATTTTTGGGGACCTTTATAATATACTTAAACCCTTTTGCTTGGCATCTCGTCCTCTGACAGCTTCCCCACCATCAGTTTCTGTGGTGAGGCCTTCAATAAATCCGGCTGTCTCCTCCCCTCTAGTGGTTACCAGCCCGCCTTGCAGCACAGGGAATGCCGAGATCTTCAGAGGACCCACAGAGGGACATTTGTGTAATTCTTTTGGCTTAGAGAGAAAAGGGGGAAAAAAAATAAGCCAACCCAGTCATCATTGCAGAAAATAAAATTTATCAAGCATTTAAAACAATATGCTAGCGACGGCTACATCTTAATCAACACCAACCTGCTGACATAGAATTGCAATTTGAGCTAGTTATTAATGATTGAATTAACAGCATGTCACAACTTGTATCTGGTTTAATAAAAGAAACCAACTAATGCAACAAAATCATAAACAACATGTAGTAGGGCATTCCCCCCGCCTCCTCTGGCCGCCGCTACCAGGATGGAATTGAAAGTCCATGTAGCTAGAATAAGGAAGATGAGGGGCCACTCCATTTGCACCTTGAAGGGCTGTCCCAAAATAATCCTGGACTTCCTTCCATAGGACTCAGTGCATGGTCAGCACAGTGGCCCGTCTATAGGAATACCAGCAAAAACAGCAGCAGCCACGGCAACAACAGCGCCGACAACACTAATGACGTCTCACCCAGATGTCAGAAACAATGGTGTCACAAATAAACCTAGTTGTGAAGCCCTTTGCCACACCACTGCACCTTAAAAATACATCAGCTTACCCTCATCCCCTTACAACAGCTTCTAACCCCAAATAACCCCAAATGTGTTCAGGAACTTATCTGAAAGAAACTGTATTGAGCATAATACTGAAATCAAAAGCATATGCCTTCTTGTTTTTCTATAAAAATATTAATACTATGGGTTTGAGTTTTAAATGGTTAAAATATAAGTTAAAGAATTTTGCTACATCCAATGTAACATACAAATAAACTTTGCTATTGAGAAGTGCATTGATCTAGTTTATAATCAAAGAAATATTAAGGTTCAATTCTGGATATAAATCATGGCTAAATGTACTGAAGTTTCTTAATGTATTATGAGGAATGACTAATGTGGACCAAGTCTTACCTATAATTGTTAGGATTTACCATTCCACACTATTCATTGAATTCTTTGGTAAAGGGAAGATGTAAATGCACGTATGACTTACCTATTCTGAACAGCTTAGTTTCTCTCTTTTTAAAGGACAGGCTTTTTTGAGAATTAGTTTAAGTTAATGTTTAAGGAAATGAAGAGAAACTCACTCTTACCCACATGGGTATCATTCTTATCATTGTTGTTTAAAATGTATAGAGTGATTTTTCTTAAAGAATATTTAAAAGTTTTTAAATTAAAAAATGGTATTGGTGTTGATTACCAATAAATTGATAGAATCAAGTGTTTTTTCAACAATATGCAAATATACAAATAAGGTAAAATTTTTTGTCTCCAAGTTAATCAGAATCCTAATACTAAATCTTCAATTGTCTATATGCAGCTAACTAGGGGAAAATCAAGTACACTTATCTTCTGTTTCACTGAAAGGGGTCCTGCAGGGGCTGATCTGATCTCAGTAGAGACTGAAATAAGGTAGTTCCTTGGGGATTGCATTAGATCTGAGTGAATGTGTGGAGTTGAAGCTTGGGGGAAATAAAATAAATCAGATATGGAAAGATGTACATGATCTGTCACAATAGACTTTTTCTTCTTTTTATGTAAAATCAATGAGAAATCTGAGTGATGATAATTTCCTTTCTAACACATGCAGTAGAATAGTCATTTTGCCTTATTTTATTCTGGTTTGGTGGGTTTTTATTACCTCAACCCAATGGCTCATACAATCCTGGAATAAAGATGAGGAAACAGTGGCTCAGGGAACTGGGTGATCTGCCTAAAGCTCAGAATCCAGACTATACTCTATTGTTCTTTTCTGATACAAGAAGAATTTTGTATTTCTGTAAGGCATTATATATGACAGTTATTTCAGTGGATTTTTCATTGTAGGATTTCTTTAACATCCAATATGCCTTCTCATAGTAGTAGACTATTAGTAATTGATGTACAAACAAGAAACAAACGGATTTTAATATTTTCTTTAGCAAAACAAAATAGGATTTTCTAAAATTTTGAAACAATTATCCTAAATTTCAAACAAGAAAAAGTAATTTGTATTATGTACAGATTCAGGTAAACTACATTATTTCTTTCTATTATCATTTATCAACAGAAGCTGATTGTAAATACCACTATATTGGATTCATTTTTAAGGGTAAAATATTTTAATTAACTCATTCTTCCTCACTTTCTCCATCTGCGCAATAAAATTGCACTGTGAAATTTTTCTATCACTTTTTTAAATAATATCAGAGAGGAAATGTTCCAGGTATCATAAAAGCATACATTTGGGAAAATTAATGAATTAGCTAGATCATCTCTTGTCACACCTTAATTCAAAGTTGTCTAACCCAAAGCAATATAGAGAGTGGCCACTTTATCCTTTTTGGTAGTAGATTGAGCCTTTTCAGAAGTAAACAATAGGTCCTCAACTTTAGCTTGAGAGTTTATCAGGAAACATGATTAAATGTGTTATGCACTTTGGTATCCCACTTTTGTCTCAAATTTATTTGTTCAACTAATACTTATTTAGTGTCAGGTAATGGCACTTGTAACTGGAGATGTACCGATGAACAACAAAGTCATTGTTCACGTGGAGGTTACAATTTAGAGGGGAAGATATATGTGAATGAAATAATTATACAACCAGAAATAGAATTGCGCTTTTAAAAGTGTTACACTGGGCCAAATAGAATCAGGCTACGAGATCTTATAAAGGCGAATAGGTTGACACCTGGTGTCAGACTCAGTGAAGGATAATGGAATGAAGTAATGGGATCCTGAAGGTGAGAAAGAATGTAGGGAAGGATGTGTTTATTACATTTGAGTGGCAAGGAAGTTACAGGAAGAGCACTTTAGGCAGGGGAGAAATGCAGCATCGCACAGGTAAAGGTAGTGCAGTGGGAAAGCCTCCGAGGACGGGAGGAAGACGAATGGGGTGGGATTAGGGTACAGTGAGGGCGAGCAGAGTGGAAGGCAACCCCAGGTTGCCAGCTCCCCCCAGGGGAGGCCAGCTGTGTCCTGGGAGCCCTTTCTTCTTCAATATACTGTTATTAAGTGCAAAGAAAGATGGAAAGCTCTTAAAGGGCTTTTTAGGTGGGGTATCAAGCCGCTCCACTAAGATGGGAAGAATAATTTTAAAAAGCAAAGGTGGATACAAGGAAACCTTTGGATTGCCAAAACATAAGCACAAATCCTCCGAATTCCTGCTAAGCATTGACTGGTAGCTTATATAGAATATTTCTCTATTTTTCTGAACTGGTTTCTGTTGATATTTTAAAGTGAGAATTTACAGAGAATGTTTGTATGTGTTTGATCTTCATAACAACCCTATGAGGAGGTCAGGTTGGATACGAATATTCCCTACAAAACAGAAAAATTATGGAGTAACTGAGATTCGACCCACTATTTCAAACTCTTATAACTCTCCACCATTTAATAACATTCATAAAGTTGACATTTAATTAGTATGAATTTCAAATAAAAGACGCATCAGGAGATTGCTTTCTTATAAAATAGATTTTCTCTTTATTTTGATAGATTTATTAGTTTACCATCTCCACATTCATACCAACCCCTTGTAAAGGGGTTAATAAGAGAATGTTTATTAAAGATATTTCTTTTCTTTTCTTTTTTTTTGAGATGGAGTCTCGCTCTGTTGTCAGGCTGGAGTGCAGTGGCGCGATGTTGGCTCACTGCATGCAACCTCCATTTCCTGGGTTCAAGCGATTCTCCTGCCTCAGCCTCCCGAATAGCTGGGACAACAGACGCACTCCACCACACCCGTCTAATTTTATTTTTAGTAGAGACGGGGTTTCACCGTGTTGGCTAGGATGATCTCGATCTCCTGGCCTCGTGCTCTGCCTGCCTCGGCCTCCCAAAGTGCTGGGATTACAAGCTTGAGCCATTGCACCCATCCTATTAAAGATTTTTCAAAGCTTTATTGGAAAAGTCTACATGTGTATAAAGCTTCCATTTTCAACATCACTGTGTGGTTTAGGGAGACATTTAAACTTGAATAATCTCACTTCAAAAGATTAGGAACATATCATTTTTCTAATGCAAATAATAATAATAGTAATTCACTATTCAGATAGTAATCCTGGTTCAGATTAGAGAGAAAGGGAACCCTAAAATCATTGTCTTCACACATACATTTTGAAATTTTATATAAACAATATATCCTATGTATGCATCAACATATGTTTACCTTTTTTAGTATTTTAATGCCTATAGGATAAAAATACTGGAATAATGGGATGCTGTAAAACTCAAAGAAATAGTTCAAGTCACATAAATATTGTTGGCTAAGTGTTGTGCTGTTTTCAAAAAAAAAAGTCGTTTTACTTTCATTTAGTCACTCTGGAATGAAAACCTAGAAATTACACAGTTCAGTGTTTGAGTTAGAAAGAGATATAGAAAGATGAGAAAGACTCAATCCTTTACAAAAGGAGCTTAAAAAGTATTTTATATTTAAAAGTAGGAGTTTTATCTGTTAGAAATATACTTTAAACAAAAGCATTGTCCAAATTTTTCTCAAGTTTTTAAAATTTTTACTTGACAAATAACAGTTGTGTATTTTATGGGGTACAATGTGATATTTTGACCTATGTATACATCGTAGAAAGATTCAATGAAGCCAATTAACATCTTCATCACTTCACAAACTTATCATTGTTTTGTGGCGAGAACATTAATAATATATTCTTTTAGTAATTTTGAAAAGTACAGTACATTACTATTAATTGTGGTCACCATGCAGTGCAATTGTTCACTAAAAATTAGTCCTCCAGTCTAACTGAAACTTTTTACCCTTTGGTCAACATTTTCCTTTTCCCCACCCCACCTCACCTCTTCCTTCCCAGCCTCTGGTAGCCACATTTCTACTCCCTGTTTCTATGAGATCAGCTTTTTTAGACTCCATATATAAGTGACATCATACAGTATTTGTCTTTTTGTGCCTGCCTTATTTCACTTAGAATAGCCAAAATGTTTGACTTAAGCTAAGAACAAATAAAATTCTGTCTTCCTGGTGTTCTTGAGACAGTTATAAAATTTTCCAAAAACACTGAGCATATTTTTATAACGATTATGCAATTGTATATACAAATAAGTTTTTACTAAGCAAATCCTTTGTAATTTTTTGAGATACCATGAGTAGCATAAACTCATACATCTTTAGTGAGTTTCCTGCCTCTCACCCCAAATTATCAAAAGGCCAACACTATGAATGTTTGGCTTCCCAGTGTTACAAAGGTCATTGAATATTAACTGCTACTATAAATAGAGATGGGTGAACATCTTGGTTTGATTTTGTATTTCCTCAAATTTTATGAGCACTTTATATTTCAGCCTCCCCTTTCTCATTCTTTCCAACTTCCCACTACATATTATTTTCGTTCACATACTAACAAAATAACAATATTTAAATATGTGACATTTTGTACAAACAACAAATCACTGATACCATAGCAAAAACATACAAAAATCCAACATTGATAGTCTTTCATAAACCACAGGAATACCACATGGTCCCACATTTAACAAAAAAAAAAGAACAAAATTGGTTAATAGTTTTTCACTAGAATTCAACTTCTGCTCATTCTTTTTTTTTTTTTTTGATTTATTAATTCTCTTAAGATTTACCTCGTTCGTTCAGTCAATGTCTATCAGTAAGTGTTTACAATGTGATAGGCACTGTAGTATCATTGGGGATTACCAGGATGGTTATGAGTTTATCTCCCAGGACATATATTCTGGTGCAGGAAGACAAATTGATAAACACATAATTTAGTACATAATAGGGTTATAATACAGTTATATACAAAGCAGGATGGGAGTATTCAAAAAGAACTTTCTATGGCTTGGAGAGATTGATGATCTTGAAAGATGGGCAGACATTCTCTATTAGGGGATTAAAATACGGAGGCAACAAGCAAGGGCTATCAGGTATGTGGAAAACCAGGAATGAAAACATAAAGTCCCAGGGGACATTGCATGTTTAGGGAAAGGGTAGGTGTTTCATCAAACTGGTGCACAGGGCATGTAGGACGGTCTGATGGTTTCAAGAAACAGTAGACAACTACAAAATGTTTCTGTCCCAGGGAAAGATTTTTCAATACTTTTCTTTTTTGTCAACTATACTTTGTTTTAAGCTAAGCATATTAAGATTTCATCAAGTTACTTTGCCTGTAAGACTCTGGAAAAGTTGAGACCTCACACAAAGATATTCATCTTAGAAGTTCACAAAGAGCCAACATGAATAAAGATAAATAAAATATTTCATAAAGAAAGTGGTAGGCATGGACAGAATGAGAATGGCATATTAATGTAGCAAAATTATGTCCATGGGCATTAAAAGGCCATCAAACATTTTTAAAAGGTTTTACTTTGAAACAATGTCAAACATACAGTAAAATTTCAAGTACAGTGCAAGGAACATTATTTTTCTCTGAATCTTTTAAGGGTAAGATGCTGACTTGATGCCTCATTACCAACGAATATTTTAGTGCATATTCACTATAAATAAGGACATTCTTCTGCCTAACTATAATATTGTCGTCAACATCAGGAAAGTAACATTGATATGATATTAGTATTTAATTGGTAGGCCCCATTCAAGTTTTGCCGGTGGTCCCCAAAATGTTTCTTTTAACAAAGGGCTCGAGTCCAAAAACGTGTGCTGCATTCAGTTGTCATGCTTTTCAGTTTTGTTCAGTGTGGAATATTTTCTCACCCTTTCCTTGATTATCATGAAATTGACACAATCACACATGTTGGGCCAGTTATTTTGTAGAATGTCCTCAACTTGCCTTTGTCTAATGTTTCTTCAGGTTTAGATCCAGGTTGTACAACTTTGGCAGAAGAGATCAAGTGTCCTTTTTGTTGCATCCAATCAGGTGGCACCCAATTTCAATTTGTTCCCATAATACTGATGTTGTCTTTTATCACCTGATTAAGGTGGTTTCTCCCAGATGTCTTCAATGCAGAATAACTCTTTTTCCCAATGTAATTTAATAAGTATTTTGTTGGAAGATATTTGGATACCATATAAACATCTCCTTATTGAAATGTCTATCTGTTTATATCCAGATGGCCTAATCAATTCCTAATTTAATCAAAGGATTATAACCTATTATGATCATTATTTATTTTGATAATCAAATTGCACCCTATTTGACCAGCAACAGGCTTTTCAAAAGGGTTTTTATCTTGTGAATTTGACAAGTCACAATCATCTTTGGGACACTGCTTTGCTTAGGGACACAGTAAGATGTTCCAAGTTAATGTTTCACCTGTTCTGCCTCAGCACTCGATGTAGTCATTTCCCCAAGGAGCCCTGGCCAGTAGCATCATATTTAGAAGTCAATACCTAGGTGCTAGGAGAGTTACCCCTATATATTAGGGTGACACTCTTAACATAAGATATTAGGAGTGTCACCCCATTAACACTGGGGTGACTCTTCTTCCAGGTCTTGCCACTGGATAGAAATACATGTATAGACATAAACACGTGTATATCTATATCTATACATCTAAATCTATTTGTTTATATCAAAAATAATGAATTAATATTGATATCTCTATCAATTCAACATTCTAGGATACATTTTAGTTTTCACTCTTATATGTACCTCCCTTTTCAAACAGTGAAGAACCTGCTTCTCTTGTCCAAAATACACTTAAATAATCTCTCCCCCATATCCAACTCATTCATTGACACCATCCCTGTGCCTCAACTTTCCCTGCTCTGCCATCCCCACCTGGTTTACTGCCAGCACCTGTTACTTATCACATGGTTGTTCTTCCTATGCTGCTCATGTTTAAACAACCATTTTCATCATCCACATTTTTAAACACAGTCAAATTTGTGTTTTGGATGGATAAGTGTGACAACAGTGTCGCTAAAGTGAGGGAAGCAGAGATTGCCATCTGCCAGTCCCAGGGAAATATTTAATGCAAATATTAAAGCAAGAAGTGATGAGGAAAATGAGGGGGGAATAGACTCAAGATACATATCTCTGATAAAATACCCTGAAGAGAGGTGAGAGGAAATGGTTGATGAAAATACTAAGGCTTATACTTTGAGGGTAATTAAATTTTCCAAAATTGTGAATACAGGACAGAGACAAGGTTATTTATTTCTTGTTTGTCTTGTACAATTTTGTTTGATGTCATTTTAGGGTTGAGAAAGAAGATAATTTCAGATTTAGAAATGACATTTATTAGATGTTGGCAAGAACATTTTTTCAGTTGAAGTGGTCGGGTAGAACCCTGGTTGTGTTGAGTTGAGGAATGAGTGAGGTTTAGATATCTTGTAATGACAAAATAAAACAAAGGATGTCTTGCTTTTGTTTTTATAAACATTATTTTCATGATGTATTTATTGATTTCAAGTCTCTAATTTCTTTTCTCTTCTCTTAGATGAAGACAACTGTAGAATCTATTCTCTACCTAAATGAAATATTGTTTTTGTTCTCCCTCAGTCTATTCCACCTTTGCTCACCATTTCTCCCTTAGGCAAGTAGGTAAGGAGATAAATAACCAGGCTTAGATGGTGAACAACAAATAGAAAGGGAAAGGAGAGAATGATGACAGCCATTCTACTTATAGTCTTTCTTCCAGAGTCCTGAATGTTTGAATTGTATTAGTGCCCTGTTGCCACCATAACAAATTACTGTGGACTCAGTGGCTTAAAACACTTTAAATATATTATCTTACTGTTCTGGAGAACAGAAGTCTGAAATGGGTCTTATGGGCTAAAATCATGGGTTTAGGGAGCTTCATTCATTGTGGAATCTCTAGAGACCATTCTATTTCCTTGCCTTTTCCAGTTCTATAAGCCATTCACATTCCTTGGCTAGTGACCCCTTCCTCCATTACAAAGTGTATCACTCCAGCTTCTGCTCCCTTTGCCACTTCTCTTCTCTTTATGGCTTTGGCCCTTACACAGTGCTCTTATTAGGATCCTTGTGATCACATTGGGTCAATTTGAATAATCTGGGATAACCTCTTCATCTCAAGATTTTTAACTGAATCACGTGGGAGAAGTCTTTTTTTCTGTTTTTTTTTTTTCTTTATTTTATTGTATTATTATTATACTTTAAGTTTTAGGGTACATGTGCACAATATGCAGGTTAGTTACATATGTATACATGTGCCATGCTGGTGTGCTGCACCCATTAACTCGTCATCTAGCATTAGGTATATCTCCTAGTGCTATCCCTTCCCCCTCCCCCCACCCCACAACAGTCCCCAGAGTGTGATGTTCCCCTTCCTGTGTCCATGTGTTCTCGTTGTTCAATTCCCACCTATGAGTGAGAACATGCGGTGTTTGGTTTTTTGTCCTTGCGATAGTTTACTGAGAATGATGATTTCCAATTTCATCCATGTCCCTATAAAGGACATGAACTCATCATTTTTTATGGCTGCATAGTATTCCATGGTGTATATGTGCCACATTTTCTTAATCCAGTCTATCATTGTTGGACATTCGGGTTGGTTCCAAGTCTTTGCTATTGTGAATAGTGCCGCAATAAACATACTTGTGCATGTGTCTTTATAGCAGCGTGATTTATAGTCCTTTGGGTATATACCCAGTAATGGGATGGCTGGGCCAAATGGTATTTCTAGTTCTAGATCCCTAAGGAATCTCCACACTGACTTCCACAATGGTTGAACTAGTTTACAGTCCCACCAACAGTGTAAAAGTGTTCCTATTTCTCCACATCCTCTCCAGCACCTGTTGTTTCCTGACTTTTTAATGATTGCCATTCTAACTGGTGTGAGATGGTATCTCATTGTGGTTTTGATTTGCATTTCTCTGATGGCCAGTGATGGTGAGCATTTTTTCACGTGTTTTTTGGCTGCATAAATGTCTTCTTTTAGAAGTGTTTTTTTCTATGTGAGGTAAGGTATTCACTGGTTCTGGGGATTAGGACATGGACATCTTTGAAGGGAAGGTTCTATTATTAGGTCCACGAACTACACTTAACAAAGTTTTCAACACTTAGCACCATGAAAATAAGCCTATGGGCTACATACCATTGTTACATGTCATTTTTTAGTTTAATTAACTCTATAAGCTATTTACAGAATTTAGGTAACTCGGCAAAGTTCATATAGTTAGTAAATAGGAGAACTCAGAAATTCATCCAGGTCTGTGACTCAAAAACCCATAACTGTAAATAATGACTATACAAACTAGGCTAGCGTGTATTATATACTATAGCATTTTTAACACTATAGATAGTAATACCAATAATTTAAAAGAAAATCCAGGAATCCAAGAACAACAAGCAAAAAGAAGATAGACAGTAGCAGGAGAGTGTCTGGGAGCCTTCTGTCTATGCCTTGTAAATCTGGCCCTTGCACAGAGATCCTAGTTACACACTCTGGGTATGTTTCACCTTCTCTGGCATTTGGGGGTAGATGAATGGCTACTATGACCTGTACAATGATAAAGCCAGAGGAAGAGGGAGAGTCACATACATTGTAAAATGGAGGAAAATAGGACAATGCAAAAGAAAATATAGAGGAGATAGAAGGAAGGATGGCTGAGGAATAAGGAAAAAAAGAAGAAGAGAGAAAAAAAGTATCCTCTTCTTGGATCTGCAAATTATACACAATCTTGATGTTTGCATAACTGGCTTAATGATTTGGGAACAGATTGGGGTGACCATTGTGGATGGATTCTCAAGGGAGTCAATATAGTTAAACATAACTACTAAAACTCTATTTATGTCTTTCCACATAGGGGACATTAACAAATTTAATGGAATACTTCATGAAATTTTGCTTTTGGTCTTAAATATCTATATATTACTGTGTAGTTATAACAATAACTTAAGGTGTTCTAAAACTACACTGACTTAATGTTTTCTTTCATCAAGAACATACAGACACACAAATGAGAAACATGTAAAATTAAACCAAAATATAACTGGAAACTAAAGGTCAGTTTCAGTCTCCTTATCCTTTTATTGCCCCAACACCTGATTTTCTGGGAGAGAACAAAACTTATTCTCCTGCAAATAGATTACTTCAAGGATAAACTTAATTTCAACTTTACCCGTTACCCTCATTACCATAATCACCACAAACTCTTGTGCTGTAAGTCCCATGTATTCAATCCCCACCAATAGGCAGGCACCATGCTAATGTCAATGCATATTTTCTTCAAACAAAAGCTATATGTTCTTTGGTGATTTCAGCATTAAAAAACATCGTGCTATCATTTGTTCATAGATTTTCTATGTCTCAATTAGATATCTTCTAATTGTAATAAGTAGCAAAGTAGCTACTTATGCAAATACAAAATGACTGGTACCTAGAAGACTAATGTTATCTAAGGCTTTAGCAAACATGTGTGCTATCCTCAGACTACAACTCCGAAGTTTTAGGTAATGTGTGATAATGTAAAAGAGTGTAAGCATTAGCATCTCTCAGCTTCGGATTCTTCATAATACTGATTCTATGACAATGTTATATAAATAGTATAAAAATAAGTTTGTTCATTCTCAATTATCCTATATAAAAAAGCTGTGTACAAATACTTTTCTGAAGAACTATTTGGAAACGTATAGCATATTTGAGTCCACCACCATTTCTCTTCCATCACCTGGCTGTGTATACCTGCAGAAGTTATTTGACTGATTTTGGTGTTATTTCATTGTGCATGTGTATGTGAATGCATGCATTTATGTATGTGTAAAAGAAATGTGCTTTATACATAATACTTTATATACAAATTTTATGGTGATTTAAAGCTAGAGGCAAATCATAGCTGCTCAATAGATTAGTTCCCCTTTATCTTCTTTTCATTTGGCCTCCCTGAAGGAGACAAGAAGTTTGTTGAAGGAGAAGTGAATAAGATGTTTACTTCATTTGCAATACGGTGGACTTTTGCCATGATGGGAATGTGGAGATAGATGAAGGGGTGAAGGCATATAGTCTGAATTTATCCACAACACAGAATCATGAAGAAGGAAATAAGCTAGCAGTTGGCAACTCTCCCTGGAACGAACTAGACAAGATCTTTACCTTTCTGAGACTGAATTTTACAACCTGTAAAAAGATGTTCAATGCCTGCTTCCTGTACTGCAGAGTGCTGCTGATTGCATCAAATGCAGAAATGTAAAAGAAACACCTTTGAAACTCTAAAGCATTACAGAAAGTTCAGAACCTATTATCAATGTATATTCAGCAACAATCACATTATTCTGAATTCATGATGATCATTAAATAATTTGAAAAATAATTTCAATATGCATATTCATTTTTTGCTGACACATTGTGGATTATTTTACAGTGTTTTATAAGCTTATATTCTTTTCTATCTCAACCACAGCCTCTGCTGTGACTGGAGCCATCTCCTTATACCCCATATATTTAGGGATGATGGCTTGCATTTGGCCCAGCCACTTTCCTGCCAGGAGTGGTCTCCTCTCTCACTGATCGTGAGACACTCTTAATCTGGTCTTTTCTGACTACACAAGACCTAATTGAACTTTTTTTCCACCGGTAGTGCTTCAGTACTTTGAGTTCACATCACATAATTTAACGCTTAATTATATTTTAAAAGTGAGGGAGGGAAGGCATCCAGACAAAAATTCCATTTATTTTAGTGATAGAGAAAGCTAGAAAAAGAGAGGGAAAAAAGTGATTTCTTCTAACTGTGGCCTACCTCACCAGAAACAGGCCAATCAACCATGCAATTTTTATTTATGTTTCCTTTTCATTTCCTGAGGGCAAATGTATATTCTACCACCTTGATGAAGCCAAGTAGTGGGTAGCCATAAATCACTAGTGACATGCTGGAACCAAGCATTTTAGGGGGCCAGAAGAGTGACTGGAGGATTATTTCCAGCAATATCCACAAAATAAGGTCACTATTGAGAAAAATCTAGAAAAAAGACATCTATGTCAGATAATATTTCAAGGGATGTTGCTTGTGAATAAATAGGGAAAGTACCAATACATTTTTAGTAGATGAGATCATTAGATTGGATTAAATGACACCGGACACAGTTTTAGTTTTCTAAATATTTCTTCTGTGTGTATACTTAAGGCAAAAAATTTATATCCATTTTTAAAAGTAAACATACCATAATTTAAACATCCTGGTGATTTTTCTTCCCACCATTTGAGAGGGAGTTTCATATACTGAAAGAGTGTGGATTTTGTAATACTAGCTTTTTCATTTTAGCATTTTCTCTAAAATAAAAATTCAGTTTCACTGAAACTCAATTTCCTTACTGTGAAATGGGAATAGTAACGTCCTCATTACTACTGAAGACTGGTGTGGAGTATACTGAAGACTGGTGTGCTGAGCCTATACCACCTGGTGCTTCAGTACATATCCAATGCCTTTTAGTTACATCTTCTTTTTCTTTGGTGAGATTCTTCATATTTATTTTGATATAGTTCTCATACAGAAATAAAAACAAATCTAAAATTTAAGAAGGCTAATTATTGGAATTCATTATTTGGGATTGCCTTTAGAGTCTGAAACACATTATTATCGACCAGTGATGTGACTTTTTTAAGCAAATGATTTCAATAATTTATACCTTACCTACAAAGTAATGGACATCAAATAACAATAATAATAATAATAATAATAATAGCTATAGTAATACTAATAAGGGTACTCTACAAAGGAAAATAGACTCCAAAATCCCAAAACATTTTAATTACTTTTGTGAAAGTATGAGACAAATAGCCACATAGCATTCTGACATCCATCAGAGTTAAAATTATACACACATACAGACACACACACACACACACACACACACACTTGCATCTCTCCTAGCTATGATATATGCAGGCACAAAGTGAATTAGGAAGTAAATTTAAGTAAATTTGAAAAATGATTATCAGTGGACAGTTATTAGTGATCCCAGGAGAAATTTTAACTGACTGGCATGTCAACAACTATTGACCAGTTGTTGTGCACCAGTATATATTACTAAACACTAAAAACAGATATTTCCTAATTAACATTTTTATTGAGAAAAGTATAGATTCCCATACATGTGTAAGAAACCGTTTTCCAGAGTGATTGCATCATTTCACATTTCCACTAGCAATGTATGGATAATCATTCGTAGCATTCTGACATCCATTAGATTTAAAATTATACACACACACACACACACACACACACATACACTAGCATCTCTCCTAGCTATGAGATTCTTAACATTTATGCAACATTAATATCAACATTAATAGCTATGTTAGTTCTTAGTATTTCAGAGTCCTTAAGTGAGTTGCATTTCAATAGTAACTCAATAGCAGTTTCTCCACATATATGGCAGCATTAGGTGTTGTCAGAATATTTCACTTGTTCTGATAAATGTATTGTAATATCTCATTGTGGATTTAATTTGCATTTCCTGATTACTAGTGATGGTAAATATCTTTTGTGTACTTAGTTGCCTTCTACATTTTTATGTGAAATCTGTCTTTGTGCCTTTGTTCTTTTTCTGATTGTTCTTTTACTCCGGAGTAAGTTTTTAGAGTTCTTAATATAGTGTAGATACGAGTCCTTTGTCAGATATGTGGCTCACAAATATGTTGTTCCAATCTATAGCTTTTCTTTTATTCCTTTTAACAGGGATTTTTTTATTCTTTTTTTTTTTCAGAGAAACTGGTTTTGATGAGATCTAGTTTATCAATTTTTCCTTTTGTAGATTGTGCTTTTGGTGTGAAATCAAAGAATACTTTTTTCCAATGCTATACCAAAACATTTCTCCTATTTTTTACATTTAAGCCTTTAAAATATCTTGAATTAAAGTTTTATAAAGTAGGAGACTAAAATATAAGTTAATTTTTTTTTTACCCTTGTGGATATTCAATTGTTTCAGGACCATTTGTTAAAAAATGCTATCATTTCCTCACTGAATTATTTTGGAATCTCTGTCATATTTGTCAAAAGTATAACTGTGTGAGCATAATTGTATGAGCCAATTTCTGGATTCTCTGCTCCTTTCCTTTTATCTGTCTGACTATCACTCTGCTAATACCACACAGTTTCAATAATTGTAGCTATGTAATAAGTCCTGAAGTCATGTAGTCAAGTTCCTCCCACTTTGTCCTTCTGTTTTGAAATTGTATTGATTATTCTAGTTTATTTGCTTTTCCATCATAAATTTTATAATCTGCTTGGCTTGAAGGAACTGTATCAAAATGATGTATCGTTCTGGGGAGAACTAACATCTTTACTATGTTCAGTCTTCAAATCCATGAATATAGTATGCCTCTCCCTTTATTTAGATCTATGATTTCTTTCATTAATATTGTATAGTTTTCAGGATGTAAGAACTGTGCATATCTCATTAAATTTACACAAAATATCGGTATTTCACCACTAAGTTCTATGTTAGCTGTAGGATTTTTTTGGTAAGTGTTCTTTATCAACTTGCTGATAAAGTTCTCTCTCTTCCTATATTTCTGAGAGTATTTATTATGTATGAGTGTTTTTTTTATAAATTATTTTTCCATATTGATTGATATAAGATACATTTTTCTTTTTTAGCCTGTTAGTGGGTGGCTTATAATTATTGATTTTCAAATATTAAAATCAGACTTGCTACCCTGAAATAAATCCCACATGATCATGGTATATAATTATTTCTCTATATTGCTGCAATCACTTATTAAATGTTTTTGTGTTAATATTTATGAGGATATTGACCTGTAGTTTTCTTTATATTACTGAAGATCTGTAGTAATATTTTATTTCATTCTAATATTGGTAATTTATATATTTTCTCTTGCTTTCTTTGTCAGTCTTACAAAAAGTTTGTCAATTTTATTAATCTTGTAAAAGAAGTAGCTCTTAATTTATTTTCTACATTGTTTTTCTGTTGTCTATTTTATGGATTTTTGCATTAATTTTTATAATATTATTTTTCTGCTAGCTTTGGATTTACTTTGCTCTTCTTTTTATTAGTTCTTAATGAGAGAATATAGCTTAATGAGTTAAAGTTGCTCCTCTTTCCTAAGGTATACATTTCATGCTATATGTCTTCCTCTCATCACTGTTTTAGTTGTGTACTACAAATTTTAACGTTTATATTTTTAGTATAAATTTTAACATTTATACTAAATTAAGATATACTAAAATTAAATATACATTTTAACATTTATATTTTTATATATTTTTAGTTATATTTTTATTTTCTTTCTTTTTAATTTAAAATTATTTTTATTGAGACTCTTTATTGGCCCATCAATTATTTAGAAATATGCTATTCAGTTCCCAAGTGTTTGGAGCTATCCTTTATTTTATTGATTTCTAGTTTGATTCCTTTGTAGTCAGAGAATACACACTGTCTGGTTTCATTGTTTAAAGACATTTTTGAGATTTTTGGTTTTGGTCCAGCTTATGGTCTGTGTTTCCATATGCTCTTCAGCACTTGTAAAGAGTGTATATGTTTCTGTTGTTAAGTGAAATGTTCTACAAATTTCTATTAGATCCTGTTAATTGATGATGGTCTTGGAGAGTTCTTACATATTCTTGTTTATTCCTCTCTAGTTGTTCTATAAATTGATAAAAGAATGTGTTGAATTCTGTAAGTTTAATTTCAGATTTTTTTTTTCTTTCAGTTCTACCAGTTGTGTTGTGAATATTTTGCATTTTGTTATTTGATGCATACCCATCTAGACTTGTTACGTGGATTGACTCTGTTATCATTATATATCTATCTCTTCTTCCCTTTAGTTTTCTTTGCACTAAAATATTATCTGATGTTATTAAGATAGTGTTGATTTCCTTTCATTAATATTTATGTAATATTTTTTCCTATTATTTTAATTCAACCTGACCATATAATTACATTTCAAGTAAATTTCTTATGGACAGCATACTGTTGGATCATATTTTTAAATATACTCTTTCAATCTCTGTATTTTAATTGGCATATTTAGGCCATTTATATTTAATGTAGTTACTGACATTTTAAAGGTTATGTCATCATTTTAAAAGTCTTTATTTTCTGTTTGTTCTTACTGGTATATGTTTTACTATTTTCCTTTCCTTAATTCATGGCAGGTTACTTGAACAATTTTTAGAATTTTGTTTTATCTATTATATTTTTGAATGTATCTTCTTGTAGAGCTTTTAAAAGTTATTTCTCTTGTTATTACATTATTTATACTTATGTCATAACCATCACAGTCTACTAGTATTCTTATTTTATCAGTTCTTATGATGTCTAAAAACATTACCTCCCTTTATATTCCTTTACTCCCTGTTGTTTATGACATAATTATCTTCAATGTGCCTTCTAAATACATTTAGAATCACGTCAGACAATGCTATAATTTTTACTTCAATCATCAAACATAATTTATAAAATAAGAAGAAAAGACCAATGTATTTTCCCATATTTTTGTTTAATATATTCTTTCTTTTTTATAACGTTCCTCTTTTCACTGTTTATTTTCTGTTTGTAGAACATTCTGAAGCCATTCTTCTAGAGTGAATCTTCTGACAAGGTATTATCCTTTTCATCCTTTGTCTGAGAATGCTTTGATTTTTATTTTACTCCTGAAGGATATTTTTGCTGGGCATAGCATTGGATTTGATAGTTCTTTGCTTTCTGCACTTTAGAAATAGTCCTTCTGACCTCCATAGTTTCTGATAAAAAAAAAATCCACTGAAAATATAAATTTTCCTTCTACAGATATGGAACTATTTTATCTCTAGCTGTTCGTAAGATTTTCTCATTCTCTTTAGTTTTCAGAAGTTTAATTTTGACGTGTCTTGGTTTGAATTCCCTTTGGGATTTGCATAACTTTGTGAATCTGTGTGTTTATCAATCAGCAAATTTTAAAAGTCATTATTTCTTCAAGTATTTTTAGCCCTAACCTCCTCTTCTTCTCATTCTTAAACTCTGATGACACAAAAGTTAGATTTTCTGCTATATGCTCACAATAGCATGAAGTCCTGGTCATTTTTTAAGACTAGGAATAAAAATAAGCTGCTAGTGATTAAAGTTTTAGAATAATGAGTAATAATTTGGAGGCAAACCATGTACAGTCATGAATATGTGTTCCCCCAACCATTCTTATTTTTATTATTTTCAAAGGTAGATTTTATTTCCTCAGGATTTAATTGTTGTCGAGAAGGGTAGTTTTTAAAAGTTATTTTCAACTAAAGAGGTTATTAGAACTTTGGGAGTTGTTTAGTTTCTTTAGTTAATTACAGTTTTAATGGATTGTGATCAGAAGTTGCAGCCTGAACAATTTTTAGTCGGGAGTATTTTTTTGATCCACTACATGATTAATTTTTTATGAAAGTGTGAGAAGCAACTGTGTTCTTCACAGGATGCAAACATATTAGTCCCACCTAATTTGTTATGTTTTTCAAATCTTCTCCGTCCTTATTTTCTGTTGTCAATCTACTGACACCTGAGAGGAGTATGTTGAAATTTCATATTTATATTGGATTTATGTCAACTTGCTGTTCTGCATATTTGGATGCTATCAGTTGTCTTCCCTGCCTGACTTCTTTGACTTCAAGTTTACTTTGTCTGCTTTTATTTTTAATATTTGTGGGTATATAACAGTTGTACATATATATAGGGTACATGTGATATTTTGAAACAAGCATAGAATGTGTAATGATCAAATCAGGGTAACTGGGATATTCCATTCCCTCAAATATTTATCATTTCATTGTTTGGAAAATTTCAAATCCACTTGTCTATTTTGAAATATACAATAGTTTATTTTTTAACTATAGTAGCCCTGTTGTGCTACCAAACACTACATATTATTTTTACTATCTAACTGTATTTTTGTACCTATTATACAACCCATTTTTGTTCCCTCACTACTACCCTGCCCTGCCTCTGCTAACCATTATTACACCTCTTACCTCAATAAGATCATATCTGTAGCACCAAGATATGAGTGAGAACATATGATATTTGTCTTTCTGTGCCTGACTTATTTCATTTAACATAATGTCCCCCAGGTCCATCCATGTTGTTGCAAATGACAGGATTTCATTTCTTTAAATGGCTGAATAATATTTCGTTATGTGTCTGTACATTTTCTTTATCCGTTCATCTCTTGGTGAACACTTAGGTAGAGTTCACATCTTGGCTATTGTGTATAGTCCTGTGATAAACATGGGAGGGCAGATATGTCTTTGATATACTGATTTCCTATCTTTTGGATATATATCCAGCAGCAGGATTGCTAGGTCACAAAGTAGTTCTACTTTTAGTTTTTTTGAGAAAGCTCTATACTGTTTTACATAGTGGTTGTACTAATTTACATTCCCACCAACATTGTATGAGCACTCTCCTTTCTCCACATCCTTATCTGCATCCACTATTTTTATCTATACAAGGACAGCTAAACACATGCACATCAAAAAACATGATAACATCACATCAACAATGATGTGAAATGAAGGAAAAAATCTATATAATCATTTCAATAGATGTCAAAAAAGGATTCAATAGAATTTAACATCCCTCCATGATTAAAAACCCTCAACAAACTGAGTGTAGAAGGAACATACCTAAACATGGTAGAGGTTATATATGAAAAACTCATAGCTAGTATAATACTGAATGGGGAAAGACTAAGAGCCTTTCCTGTATGCTCTGAAACATGACAATAACGTACACTTTCACAACTTTAAATTTACAAAATACTGGAAGTCCTAGCCAGAGCAATTAGACAAGAGAAAGAAATAAAGGACATTTGGCCAGACGCTTTGGCTTATGCCTGTAATCCCAGCACTTTGGGAGGCTGAGGTAGGCTGATCACGAGGTCAGGAGTTCAAGACCAGCTTGGCCTACAGGCTGAAACCCCATCTCTACTAAAAATACAAAAATTAGCCAGGTGTGGTGGTGCGTGCCTGTAATCCCAGCTACTCAGGAGGCTGAGACAGGAGAGCTGCTTGAACCTGGGAGGCAGAGGTTGCAGTGAGCCAAGATCATGCCACTGCACTCCAGCCTGATCGACAGAGTGAGACTCTGTCTCAATAAATAAATAAATACATAAATACAATAAAAGACATTCATAGTGGAAAGGAAGGAGTCAAATTATCCTTCTATGCAGATGATGTAATCTTTTATTTAGAACAATCTAAATGTTCCACAAAAAAACTATTAGAACTAATAAATTCAGGAAGTTTGCAGCATAAAAAATCAACATAAAAAGATCAGTAGTATTTCTGTATGCCAACAGTGAATAATCTGAAAAAGAAATGAAGAAAGCAATCCAATTTACAATAGCTACAGAAAAAAATACCTAAGAATAAACATAACCAAAGAAGTGAAAGACTGCTACAATGAAAACTATAAAACATTCATAAAAGAAATTGAGGAGGACATGCACAAAATCAATGAAAATATATCCCATGTTTATGAATTAGAAGAATCAATATTGTTAACATGTCCATACCACTCAAAGTGATCTACAGATTTATTGCAATCCTTCTCAAAGTACTAATGACATTTCTTCACAGAAATAGAAAAAAAAAAACTCCTAAAATTTATGTGGAACCACCAAAGACCCAGAATAGCCAAAGCAGTCATAGAGAACGAAGCTGGAAGAATCACATTTCCTTACTTCAAAATACATTGCAAGGCTCTAGTAACCAAAACAGCATGGTACTAGCATAAAAAACAGACACATATTCCAATAGAATAGAGTATTCAGAAATAAATCCACACATTTACAGTCAACTGATTTTTGATAAAGGTGCCAGAAACGTACATTAGGAAAAGAACAGTCTCTTAAACAAATGGTGCTGGGAAAACTGGATATCCATGTGCAAAAGAATGAAGCTAGACTCCTCTCACCATATTGAAGAATCAAATAAAAATGTATTAAAGACTTAAATATAAGACCTGAAACTCTGAAAGTACTAGAAGAAAACATTGGGGAAATGCTTGAGGACATTGATCTGGGTAAATATTTCTTGAGTAAGACCTCAAAAGCATAGGAAATCCAAGCAAAAATGGACAAATGGCATGACATCAACCTGCCTGACGTCTTTCTAGGAGGTTCTCCTTTTCCTTTGCATTTGGTTGTTAATCAGGATTGCTGTTTCACCCAGCATTCACTAAGGCCAACCAATGAAGGTACTTTATTCCAAGAAATATCATTAAAAGTAGTTAATAACCAGTGTAGTGCCTGTACTGACCATTCTGAATAGGCTGCCAACCACTGAGAACAGATGCCAGTCATAAAGAACCAATAGGGTCTGACTCATGCACATTTTCTAAGTATCAGTCTTACTCTCCTCTAATCCTTGAGAGGTTTTGTCCAACCTTTGTCCAATGTCAGACCACTCAGTTCCATTTTGGGAGATTGGTCATAATACTTTATCTCTTTATAATAAAAATGCAGAGGCCATGTAAAGGGAAAGGTACTTGAGACCACATATCCCATCATGTAGAGAGGGCTAGCCAGAATAAAATAATGAAGAAATTGAGATAAAAGAGGAAGAAAGAAAAGACATAGGGTAAATATCAAAGGAGAGAATGAGAATAAGAGAAAGAGAATCACTACTCATTATATTATTTGAACACCTGAATCTATCTGTGCCTGCTGCCTATACATTTTAAAATCATGAGTCAATAGATTTTCTATCAGCTTTAGCTGATTTGAGTTTTCTTAGTGTCAGTTGAAATTCAAGTCTCGCCTCACTTAACTTAATTTAATCAAATATTTCAATACACAGGATTACAAAAATAATTCAGTGCACATACACTCATCATCCACATGATAAAAATGTACATATTTGCCATATTTGATGCATTGTTGTTGTGGACACAGTTTTCTTTGAGTGTCTTCTCCCATTTATTGCCCTCCTTTCTTGAAGGTGCCTATTCTAAAGATGGCATGCACCAATCCAAGCAAGTTTTATACTTTAATATATTTATTTATCCATATAATATAAATAACATGTTATGAACTTAAAGTTTACATAATTAGTATCATAAAGATCTCTTCATCCTGCAACTTTTTTCTGTCAATATTATGCCTCCCAGATTTAACATGCTGTTACATTTAGACATAATCTACTCTAATCTTGAGGGTTTTGAACTATTTCTTTCTTTTTTTCTTTCTTTTCTTTCTTTTTTTTCTTTTTTTTTTTTTTTTTAATAGGTGGGGTCTCACTCTATCACCCAAGCTGGAGTGCAGTGGTGCAATTATAGCTCATTACAGTCTCAAACTCTTGGGCTCAAAAGATCCTCCCACCTCAGCCTCCCGAGAAGCTGGACTACAGGCATGTGCCACCACAGCCCCTGATTATTATTTTGTATTTTTTGTAGAGATGACATCTCGCTTTATTGCCCGGGCTAGCCTTAAACTCCTGACTTTAAGCAATCCTCCTGCCTCAGCTTCCCAAAATGTTGGAATCACAGGCATGAGCCACCATGCAGTATTTCCTCTTAAGAATAAATCATAATACATCATCTTTCTTGTATTTTGAACAATGTTTTCTAGTTTTTTTATTATACGCAATTTTGCAATGGCAATTCTTGTACATTTTTGACAGCTTAGTTAAGGGAGGATTTGAAAGCAAATTGTTGAGTTGTATACTATCTTCATTTTCAAGTTAATCATGTTGCCAGTAGTTTTTAATCCTACCAACAGTGTATGAAAGTTCCATTTTTCCATATTTTTCTCAAAAAGTTTTATTGCCTCGTTTTATGATTTTTGCCAATGTGATGATTATGAAGTGGAAACTTTTGGCTGCTTTGATTTGCATTTTTTGGTTTCTGCTTACTAAAGAAGTTGAGCTTTTATCTATGTGTTTATTAACCATTCAGATGACACTTAATATTGTTCTTTTGCCTTTTTATATTTAGGTTGATGAACATTTTTATTCCTATGAAATGTAAAAGTTATTCAGGTAGTGAGTCAATTTGAAAGTTGTGTTATGATTATCTTTCCTAAGTCTGTGGGTTTTTTTCAAAATCTGATTTATGCTGCTTTACACTGTAGATGATTTTATTTATTATTATTATTGGTGTTATTTTAAGAGTTGTGCTTTTTATGAGTTAATCACTTTTGTTCCAAAGTCAAAGAAAATTTTCTGAAATCTTCTTAGAAGTATTGAACTTACCTTTATTTATCTAGCTCTTTAATCAGACTGGAATCAATTTTGCTGATAGTGTAAAGGATCTAATAGACTTATTAAACAAGGTATTTAATTGGGGGCCTAGAAATAGGGCAGGAACAGTTGAACCTGGACAGTTTTCAGCTTCATCAATAAATAACAAGAATGGCCAGCTTGTTTCAAACTAGTACATAGTTTACTCTTAATTTTTTTTAAGATCTCCACATTAATTTGTCTCCTCTACAATTAATAAGCTAGAAGTTTGTCCATTTTCTTCCCTTTTTTAAAATCAATATTGTGAGATATTGTTATATGAGTATTTTAAAGAACCCATTTCACCTTTATAAATATTTTTTCATTTTCCCCATTCTATTATATTTTAAAAAGTATTTTACTTTTGTATCCTTGCCTTCCATTTCATTATATTTCCCCTATAATATTTTGTCAGTATTATTTCTTTCCTCTTATATCTAGATTTATTTTATTTCCTAACTAGCTTTCTAATTTGGATGCTGAGCTACTTGATTTTGGTCTATTTTTCTGATATATGCATCCAATACTGAATTTTGCCTAAAATTAAAAATGTATTTGCATGATACATGTTTTAATAGGCAATTCTTTCCTTGTTATTTAGTCTTAAATAGAACAGTTTCCATTAAAATTTTTATTTTATTAATAAGTATTTTTCACATGTATTTTTTCCTTTCTTTTTTTTCCTCCCCTTCCTTGTACCTTTTTTCTTTTCTTTATTTTTTTTTGAAGATGGTTTTATGATGACAGTTTTTAATTTTATTGCTGTGTGGTCGGAGGACCTGATATGATCTCTACAATACATATATTCTTATTGTCCCACATAAATATTTTTTGGTAAATATTTCATGTACACTTGAAGTGAATATATATTATTCTCTAATTGTTGGTTGCAAGACTCTGTGAATATTAACTAGCTCAATCTTCTTAACATTTAAGTTTGAATACTTAAAATCAGTGTTTTTATTATCATTTGTTCTATGTATTCTATCACTTTCTATCATAGGTGTTTAAAAATTTGCATTAGGTTTTGTTTATTTAAAATCCTACACTGTAATTTCCTCAACTAAAGCTTTATATATTTAGAAGCTGTTTTATCAATATTTATCAAATATTATTGGGTGCATTATTGTAGTATTTTCCTAAAAAAAATTTCTATACAATTATGTAATATCCCTCAGTAATTGTAATAGCTATTTTCTCTTAGTATGTATGTGATCTGATATTAGTAATTCTTTGCTGTCTAATATTTGTTATTTGTTATTAAGTATAGCATTTTGTCATTTGTTTTAAAACTTTTTGTGCTGTTATATTTTATGCTGAAAATTTTATATGAATATCTGTAAATTCATGAACGACAAATTAAATGCATTTTTCATGTATTGTAATTTTACAGATCTATCTGGGCTTACTTTTTTTTGTTATTTCTGTTCATTCTCTATCATGGTATGTATTTCTTCATGTGATTTCCGGTTTTTAAAAAATGTTAAGCTTTTCTCTAGTGTGTGTTCTGTCCCTTCCTCTCCCTCCCTCCATCACTGGAATCTTGTGCATTCAGTCACTATGATGAAATTTTTGTTTTACTTTTTGCTGTGTTCTTCTACTATATAGGTATCATACTTTCAGAGTCTATACTAACACAGTGCCTTTGATTTTATAGTTTTGATGCTATATTATATAGCACATACAGATTCATGATTATTATATTTTATGATTGTTATATCTTTCTCAGTATAAAATGACCATCTATCTACGAAGAAAGTACTAACAGTATTAAAAATTACGTGTTTTTTTTCTTTTTTTCTTGTTTGATGGTTCTTGTTGCTTTTTCCAAACTTGTGAGTCAATTTTTATTTCTGTTTTTCATATACAGTGTCTGCATTTTGGTGGGTTTGTTAATGTTATTTACTTTATTAAGTGTGTAGGTTTTGCTGCCTTTATTTTGACTGACAAACTTTTACCTGTGTTTCAAATTCACCTGAAACCATGTATTTTAAATGCTTTATCCAGAAGAAATAATTTGCTTTCTTAAATATTCAAAAGTCATTCATCACTCCCTTACATTTTAGGCACTTTCTAAATTATTAGTTAGTCTGCTAGATGTTAAACTTTGAGAGAGTAATAACTGTTCATGTCTTAAATAGTTTTTATTCTAATAAATACCTACTGAAAATAATGCTTAACACTTCACAACATATGTGTTGGATAAAAGAATACTATAATATCTTTAAACAAAATGAATGGTAGGTTTAGGAACCATCTCTTTAAAAAGAGCAAAAAATATTTTAAATATTAAAATTCATGGCTGGAATAGTTAGATTATTGTATTTTAATACATTTTTCCACAGCTACATATACATGCTCAATAGTCTTTAACTGTGTGTAATTTTATTCTGTAAAACACCAATTCCTAAGTTAGTTTCTCTCTTAACTAATTATATTTTGAGAATGATTCTGCTCTATGTTTCACCTTTATTTGGTATCCCCATTGAAGTGATTCATGAAATAAATAAAACAAGATATTTGTTATCTTATTGAAATGATACAGGTCATATCTAAACAATCCTTATTTTCACATTATTTAAAATAGTAACCATGGAAATAGTTTTTCTTGTGAATTTACCATTGTCATCCAAATTCTTTCTAAGGCTAGCAACTTTTCTCACTAAGCCAATAGCCTCAGTCAGAGGAAACACAAAACCGATGGCTGATGCTGGTGGTAGCATGGGCACCATTAAATTTCCACTCTCAGTTTTGACCAGTGTGGAGAGCATTCTACTCAGTTGCTCATCCTTTTTAAAATGAACACCCAGTTCTTCACATGACCAAAACTATACTTCCTCTATGGAGCTAAAGTACTAACAGTAAATTTTCAATTTTGAAGAAAGGTTTATTGTAGGAAAAATATGAACATTTACTAAGAACAAGGATACCTAGATTTCTAACATAGACATTTTATTTTTCCAGTGTATAACTGCAGTGTGTGTGACTTACATCATGTCAGGTTTTGTAGACAAATATTAATACATAAAATATCATTGTGGTAATATGGTATCAGGTATTTTATTTTGTAGATGTTTCATACCTTCCAAAAAACTGAGAATTATGTAACTTAATAGGAAATAATAAAATAAGTTGGATCCACATATAAGATTCATTTATCCTTCTTTTTTCTTTTTTTTCGACAGAGTTTTGCTCTGTCTCCCAGGCTGGAATGCAGTGGCGCAATCTCGGCTCACTGTAACCTGTGCCTCTCGGGTTCAAGAGATTCTCCTGTCTCAGCTTCCCAACTAGCTGGGATTACAGGTGCCCATCGCCACCCCACACCCCCCGGCTAACTTTTGTATTTTCAGTAGAGATGGGGTTTTACCATGTTGGCCAGGCTGGTCTCGAACTCCTGACCTCAGGTGATCAGCCCCCTGAGCCTCCCAAAGTGCTAGGATTACAGCACACAGCCCATTTATCCTTAATCATTCAAACTTTTTACCCATACCACTTGCTTAAAAAGTACACATATTTATTAGCTTGGGTTTGTTTTATCTTCATTAACTCCCTTTTCCTACCTTCCCTCAAGGGAAGGGGCAATGAATTGGAAGGTTAAAAGAAATGTCAGTAATAGTTCAAAAGTCAGTAATGCTTTGATTAAGGTAGAAGGGTATTTTTCATTTTGGTCATGTCTTTTGGGAAGCAACACAACATCGTAGTATTTTTCCTGTCATAGTACACGTTGAGCATTTTGAAGGGGACGACAAAACTTGGATAGAATTTGCTTATGTCTAACTCAGTGTAGAATGATGGAGGAGACAAATCCCCAGAATTTCCTCTTATACTTTCTCTGTACCAGCAAAAGCCTCATAATTGATTATTTTTGATGAAGCAAAAAACTATAGTAGTAAACTCATGAGAGTTTATTGCATGTAGGTGCTATTGTGTTGGCAGAGTTAAAACTGTATTCAGTAACTATTATCTTGTGTCCTTGAAGATCTTCTGAGATAAGAAGCTGCCTCTTTGATTCCTCAGTCAGCCTCCTAAGCCTCCTTCTGCATCCAGGGAACCGTCTTCCATCCTGCTGTTCATGAGAGTGGACATTTCAAACGCAGACACCTAGGCCCCACCTTAGGACTTTCTTATCTAGTGGGTATGGGATGATGCTTCCCATTCACCTTTTCATTACAATAGGACATTCACAAACTTACATTTCCAAACTTAAATGCGTCTTTCCAGGGCATTTGACCCTTGCAATGATATGAACATTAAATTCTTATCATATCTTCTAAAGCCATTCCTCAGAGGGTCTCCCTCCACGTTTTTATTATTGTGGTTCTATTCCTCTTTCTTTCAGGATGCTTCTTTGCTGTCCAGTCCTCTCTGTGGATCTCACAGATGGTTGCTTTTCCAAATAATATAGTGATCAGGAAGGGCAGTGACCCTGGGAAGCCTCCACACTGAACCCCTTGTCCACGAATCCCCCACTTCAGGAATCTCTAAGGAACATCACTTCATAGTTATGAAATGTTTGACATTCATACACTCCCAAGAGATAAATAACATAGAGTTTGGATATTTGCCCCCACCCAAATCTCATGTTAATTGTAATGCCGAAGTTGGGGCCTGGTGAGAGGTGTTTAGATCATAGGAGAGGATCCCTCATGGCATGGTACTGTCTTCGTGATAGTGAGTTCTTATGAGATCTGGCATTTAAAAGTGTGTGACACCTCCCTCACCATTCCACTCTCTTTCTCTCTCTCTCTTTTTTTTTTTGCCATGTGATGTACCTATTTCCACTTCACCTTCTGCTATGATTGTAAGCCTCCTGAGGCCTCCCCAGAAGCAGATGATGCTATGCTTCTTGTATAACCTGGAGAATCATGAGCCAATTAAACCTCTTTCCTCATAAATTGCCCAGCCTCAGGAATTTCTTTATCGCAATGCAAGAGCAGCCTGATACAACAACAATGAATACCCAGTGTGAAAACTTTTGTAAGAAGCAACTCAAACTAAAACACTGTCATAGCATTAATGTTAATTTTCTGTAACAGTGAGAGAATTATTACAGTAAATAAATGTGCTATATCCAGTTTTGTCTTTTGGTTATTTTGTATTATTTTAGTAATATCTGTTGTAAATGCAATTTAGGGTTTGTAGATTATTAAAAAAATAAATTCAGGGCCGGGTGCAGTAGCTCACACCTGTAATCCCAGGATTTTGGGAGGTGGAGGCAGGCGGATCACCTGAAGTCAGGAGTTTGAGACCAGCCTGGACAACACAGCAAAACCCCATCTCTACTAAAATTCAAAGATTAGCTGGACGTGGTGGTGCATGCCTGTAATCCAAGCTACTCGGGAGGCTGAGGCAGGAGAACCACTTGAACCCGAGAGGCAGAGGTTACAGTGAGTTGAGATTGCGCCACTGCACTCCAGCCTGGGAGACACAGTGAAACTCCCTCTTTAAAAATAAAATAAAATAAAATAAAAGCACAAATTCACGTATAAAGATCAACAGATAAAAATAGAAATTAAAATCAGAAGTTGTTAACAAAAATGATAGCTTCAAAAGCATATTATTTTAGTTTCAAGCTTTTAAGAAGAGAAATAACATTCATCAGTCTATGCCTAAAATCCATTTCATGTTTATAACTATGTCTAATACAAATATTTTACAACTTGCAATTATACCAAAAAATCCAAAAGTTAGATAATCTAAACATTTTAGTTGGCTAAGAAAGTCATGTTTATACTATTATTTGAATGAGAGATTTCTTTAATTTGCAGGAATTTTAAAGATGGTAAACAATATACCAGAACTACGTTGTTAACATTCACATTACCAGAATGTGGGAATTGTGAGATTCTGTGAGAGGAATGAGCTGCAATAACTATTAAGATGGATACAAAGTCTAGCTGACCTCTTTTAACGTTTGCTGGGCTCTCTCCTCTGTATGGAAGACATTTAACTTGTTTGCTCGTAAATACTTTCCTTGAGTTAGGAAGACAATTGATTTGGCTAGAAATGGTTTTCTCCTCGAACCTTCTAGGTTAAAATGGTAAACAGTTTCATTATGTTCATAAAGTAACTAAGCAAAACGGATGATGAGGACCAAATCTGAGAGATAAGTGTTACTGTTTATAATGGCAAGACGGATCATTACCAGTTGTTCATACTGCTGTTACCAGACATTCTTTCTTTATTTTCAAGATGGGTCCATGCAGCCCAAGCAATTGAATTGTAGTATTAAAATCAAGTACCATGTGAAGAGAGAGAGATGAGAAGTAGATGTCTGGATGCATTGCCTATTTATCCAGCAGTCTGTCCACCAAGCCACACTTTCCCACACACGGTCATGTAGATTCTGTGTCTATTTCAACACTATTACTTTCAGGGAAAGGCAGACTGTGTCAGGCAGATAATGTAAGGTAGAGAGCAAAAAGCTAGCTAAACATTTTCAAGCTTGAAAAATAACTAATTTAGCTTGAGTTCTGAGAAAAGTCTCATCCAAATCATTATTCAAAAAGCTATTTATTCTGCTCTCACTTATACCGTTCAAAGTTATTTTGAAATGTAACTTTTTGAATAATTTTCGTTATTTGTAAAGAGCTCTGACTTCTTTGAAATAAAGAATCTGTGAAAAAGTGAATAAAAGAAAATTTAAAAGTTCACAAGTGCTTAATAAGGCAAAATCTTTTCAAAGAGCATATCAAATTATTTTATTTAAATTGTCATTTTCAACTAAAAAGTAATGTGGGTTTTATCATTAATGAATGCCACTACTTTCGACCAATATAATAGTCAAAGAAGAAAATATTTGAGAATACTTAAAAGGTATACCAAATCAATATTAGTAGAAAAATGAAGTACTTTTGTTTATTTTACTAGTACGAATATGAAGCACTAATCAAAATCCTTTCAAGAAAAATTAAGCATGACAATTTTCAGCCACAGTTATATTTATTTTTCAATTTTGCCTGTAGTATTTTGCCTTTTACATTACACCCTTAAGATTTCTAAAACCCTGGCTTATGTACGAGTATGAAGAGTACACAACCCATTAAATTAAGGGCTCTCGACATACTCATCTACAAATCAAACAAATCTAATGTCCTCAGTTGATCAACTTTCATTAGTACACTGTTCCCTCTGAAATCATGAACATCGTGAGGACGAGGACCACCAAGTGGTGATGAACTTGACTACTTTAGACAGAAGTAGGAAAGTGTAGCAGAAGAGGTGGTGAATGTTGGGCAAATCTACCAGAAACTTTACTGATTGTCATGTTAATTAATTAGCCCTGGGCGCATTTTCTTTAGAATGAAGCAAATATTTAGCACTACTTCACAAATTCATCCAGTGATACCTAAAACTTTAGTAGCTGACATTTTAGGTAATGGATGGATTACTCTTACATGAACCTAGCAAAAATATCCTCTTAGGGGCAGGTATAGAACTACAAACTTGCTTCTCTTCAATAATTTTCTAAGCCCCACGTGCTCCAGCATACTATAACGATTCAGTGCACTTTGTCTTAGCTATGTTTTACTTAATAAAATTTGGTTATCTTAGCAAAGTCAAGAAAAGAAAGCTCCTAATTGTCCTAAGCAGCTACTTGTCAATGAAGCAAATTTTCCAATTGCTCTGTTTTTAATTTGTACTGACCTTCTGATCAAATACAGGATTCTAGAGGCAGTCATATGTTTGGAGTAAGTCCCTCCGAGGTTCTGATCATCTACAGGGCATGAGGATCTTTGTTTTGAGTCATTCACCAGTGGTTTCTAAGAAGGAAAGCTCCTTGAAGTGCCTCTTTTCCAAAAGCAATGAAATGTAGGTAGAATTTATGTGACTTATTGCATTTAAAATACAAAATATAATGAAAATAAGCTTTTTTTCTACACTTAATAGAAAAGTTCTTGTTCAGAATGAATTCATATGAGGAAAACATTTTCTCAAACAAAACTTCTTTTTCCATTTTATGAAAGAGAATTTTAAAGAATGCTAGTAAAATCCAAACTGATCCATTAAATAAGGGGAAAGTATCAGTTTCTGGGTAAAAGTCTTCTCAAAACCCAATTTTCAAAGGTATTTGTTTTCCCATGACAGTGACAACTTTAAAAAAGAAAAAATAATTTAAAAATTTCTTCACACAAGTATTCCCTTGTTGAAATAAACACTACAGATTTTATGGCAAATTGTGAACTCACAACTCAAAGAACATATTTGCTGACCTTCTTTTAAAAAATTAATTACTTAGATTTTTCAGTTACTTACCTTGCACTTTATGAAAGAATAAGCAAGTTTCTCCATAGACACTTTTACTAGAATATTTTGAATCAAAATCACTCTTGATTTTTAACTCTTCACAGTTTATAGTATTACAGCATTGATTCTCTTTTCTACAAATGTTATTTATTTGTGATGAACTCTCTCCTTTGTTATTTCTTGGCAATTAATAATGAGGAAAGACCACAATTCTTAGGGTGCACTGAAACATTGAAGTTTCATAATTTATAACAAGACAATAGTCATTTCATAGTTAATTTTGATGCTTTGTTGTTTGTTTCCCTGAGATACTAAATCATCCAATAATACCCAAAGGGTCCCTTTAAAGACAAAAATACATGCTAAATTATTAAATCTTCTAAGAATGTCTATCTCCAGTCTTTTTCTAAATTGCCACCATCCCGAAAATATGGTCTCTGAAAGCTTATAGATTTCCCAAGTCTTCCTTCTTGGATATTGATTTTCTCAATATTGGATTGAAACTAGAATCAACCAGATGTTGGTTTCTAGTCTTCATTCTGGATGTGTGGTTATATTTTCATGTACTACTCAGTTTTCCCAACATTTCTTTGTAATTTCTACATTTTGGTTCACATTTGGGAAGGCCTGGATTGGTGGCTCAACTTTGCTGCTACTGCTAGGAGTCATAAAAATCAATGTGGTTAAAATTCCTGCTAGTCAAAGGAAACTGGAGAGGGGTTCAGAAATTAAGTCAAATTATAAGAAAACAATTTGTAATCCAAGATTCATACCTGATACACAAACATGCGCACACACACACACACACACAATTTTTTTTAAGAAAGCTAATTTAAAAAAAAAATTTATCACCTGAAAACAATGTTGTCTTATGGAAAATTCAAGTTGCTGACTAGAAACTTGTACCTGCTTATTTAACATGGAGGTCAGCCAGAGAGAGGTACAGCTATAAGAGATAAATGCCAATTTACAGTAAATCAAAATTTTTTATTGTAGGATCTCTGGAACTATAAAATGTCACTGGGAATAATGATGCTCAGTTTACAAAATAAATTCTCAGAGTATTGCAAATATTGACAAAATCAAAGAATCATAGAATCACAGTTGGGCTTTTATAGACCATTGACAGCTGAAGTCAATGATGTCATAGGAAAACAATAACAGTAACAACAACGATATTAACCAAGTCACCCCATAATCTTTTCTGAGACGTAAGATTTCTGACTTTTCTATTTAAAACATACATTAGTAACTTGACATCAAAAATAGTTCCAAAGACCTGTATCGCCACATTCCTGATAAAGTAACTTTCAATATTTTAAAATTTGAGTTATCAAATTGGTATTTGATTGAAACAGATATATATATATATATTTTACTTTGTGACATAGAATTATAAATAGATTTGACATATATATGTATACATAATGTTATATATCACCAAGGGAAATTCATGACAATTGTCCAATTTTAATTTTTAATTGTCACTAAATGAAACCACTTACTGATAAATCACATTGACCATGTATTGGACTCTTTGGGTTCATGTTCTAGATCTACCACTAACTAGCTGTACGACCTTGGCCAAGTTATTAAACCTTTCTGCTCCTAGGTGCTGTTAAGAATTCCTACTTCACAATGTTGTTACAAGGATGAAATGGGATAATCTATGTAAAGACATCTATGTAAAGTTTCAGAAGTCTCCAGATACTACAGAATTTATACTCTCTTCTTTCCTAAACTTTCTTTTTGTGCCATGCATTTCTAGTCCTAGAAAATATTAGGCAACATTGCATATTTTTATGAGGTAGCTATTTTGAGTCTTCAAAGCTTTTTCAAGTCATAAAATGTGCCATTTCTGTATGTTTCTGTGTTAACTTTAGTATTTTAGTTACTTTATAAACAATACGCTATTTTAGAACACTTCTGGAAATCCTAAAATGAATACAAATAAATTGTCGACGAACTCCTTCAGAGCTGAACCCTATTCAAACGCTTTTCGTTGTTAGATAGTTCTTCCAGAGAACTCAAGAAGAAACCCAATATCAGAACATGGACCACATGTGGCTTGGGGGTACATCACTAAAGGGGCCAGAGAGCACCAACTTACCTTGCAGTACATAGACTGCCTACCTATCCCACTCCTACCACAATCCCAAAATAAAATGGAAGTGGAGCTCCCTGACAAGAGAGTCAGCAGAGTGAGGGAATCTGGGATTTAGAAAGGGACTAGCAACCAGAGAACTTTGCATTACTTTGAGGTGTGAGCAACTCCTGTTTGTAGAAAGATAACAGATGTTAGTGAAAGTAGATGGTCCTGTTCTAAAAGTTCTCTAATCCTTTATCTTCCTTTGTGGTGTTGGAGGCATGAGGCTGGAAAACATTTTAAGCCAGGATGCTACAGGCTCCAGATTGCACTGTGGGAGCACAGAAAAAGGCAAAGCGCTTGACTGAGACTAGATGAGAAGCCAGGCTTGAGGATGGCTCACGTGAGCTGTGATGGGAGGTGACCTTGTGAGATGATGGCAAGAACACTGATCCAGGGATAAAACAGGAGGAAATCCTGACCCAGGCTCCGGCCTCCTCCCAGCCCCATGCTGCAGGCCAGGTGAGAAAGTCACAAGTCACTGCTCCTCTTCTCTCCTGTCCCCACTCAAGATGACGGGCTGGATTAAATCAGAAACCCAAAATCTCAACTCCATCCCCAACACAAGGTGACTTTCAGGATTTTAAGTCTTTGAGATATTCATTTTAACTCTATAAAATGTTGATTACAAGAGTGCCATTTCACAAGTGCTCAAAAATATTTTTGTTAAATAATTGAATGAATTTTGCTGTATTGGAAAAAAAAAAAGAAAGATAAGCTGATTAAATACATTTAACAGGGGTAGATTCCCATCCTACCTCTGGAATCTATATGTTGTCCTTTGTTAGACAAAAAACAAGAAACCTAGTAAAGAAACAAACCCTGGTTAAGGTAGTGAGGAAGGAAACAAGAAGAAATAAGAAAAAACACTATAGTGTTAGGTGCAATTTTATATCCTTGTAATTTAAAATATACATAAAATAAATTATTTTCATTAAAAGATTAAAAAAAAATTAACCCAAAAGAAAATAGACAAGCTGAATATACCAAAAGCCAGAGAATAAGTACAAATATAGTCAGAGATCTATCATCAAATAGACACATAATTTTTATCACATAGAGGTTTATGAGCATAGAAAAGTTTCCCCAGCTAATTCTACAATAATAAATAAAGCCTGATTCTACCATGAAATAAGGAAAAAATAGAAAAAGAGAACTATATGTCAGTCTTGCTTTAGGATATAGATATAAAAATCCTAAAAAATCATTATCAAATAGAATTCTTCAAGTCACTAAAAGAATAATCATAAGTGGGATGACTTATCCTACTACTATATGATAGCTTGAACATTAAAACATTTTCTAATGTGTTTTCAGTAAAGAAAAATTTTAACATAAAAATACACAACTTCAATAAAACAAAAACCTTTTCATGAAAAGTGACACATTATTTTGATTTTTAAAATCTTAGCATAATTGTGATACTTATGTATGTAAATATTTTCTTGGTATCTTTTTAAGTGGATATAGATTACAAAACTATTTTAGAAATGAGATGGCAGTGTGTATATCAAAGTATTTATTGTTTATAATACAGAATAATTATGTATATAGGTCTATATCTGTATATGTACATATATAGAAATGTATATATATACATATTTGTCTATATGCATAGATTATGTAAAATTACACCTAAATGGTCACAGTCATTGCCTATGGATTAGGGTTTGCCTTAGGCCCTAATTATTTTCTGGGGTTTTTGCTTTTTTCTTTTTTTTTTTTGCTTCTCAAAAGTTTCTATATGCATATGTATTGATTATAATTTTTACAGAGTTAATAACATTATTTAAAAATGTAAAATCAGACACATGAATTGCCAATTATATAACATTTTTATAAATACTGGAATATATGTATGTGCAAAGACCTTTGTGCTGCATTCAGGCTTGTTTCCTTTATTTACTTTCCGAGCTGGGATGAGCACCCTATGGCCTCAGGACCTTTGCACATGCCTTCTGGGCCTCCTCAAGCATTCTTCCCCACACTTTCACTGAGGCTACCTAATTTCTTCTCTTCCCTTGGTCTAAAAAGATTATTTCTCAAAAGCTTCCTTTTCCTAACAAAGCTAACTAAAATCAGCCTCCTTCATTATCCACTGCTCTCCCTTATTTATTTCCTTCTAACATATTCTCAAGTCTGCAATTATTAATATTTGTTTTTCTGTTCGTATTTATTTTTTCTGTCTTTTCGATGAAAATTCAAAGTCCTGGAAGGCCAGATTAGGTCCAGTCAGTCTTTTTTATGTATTGTTGTGTCTCAGTCAATGACTGATGAATAAATGACTGGATTATAGAGTAATTAATTCCTTTCCAACCCATCTGCTGACAGATTAAAAATGATATCTAGAGCCAATTCAAACCTTTTTCTATAAATTGCTTGCCTATTTTATGTTTCAGGAAATTTCCTTATAAATGTGTGTGTGTGTGTGTGTGTGTGTGTGTGTGTAAATATATCTTATTGCAAAAGTATCTGTGTTTTAAAACTTACTTAACTGTGTTAGGCCAGTTTTGGGGTAATTTACAGAAGAAGGGCACTCCATGAGTTAAATTGCTGGGTCTGCCCTAAAACAATACCTGAAGTTGCTCAAATGAGACATATTGTGTAAAACAAAAATTGTGAAAATACGGCCTGTTCTTCATTTAATTGGGAAGACGATGTTAAGTTTCTTAAAGTCTCCTAGCCTTTACTCCTGTTTGATGTGGCCATGATCGTGTCTCTCTGTCTTTTTTCAGATCTCCTCTTTCTGTTTACTGGTCCTTACACTTCTACTAAGTTTGAACTAAATTCCTAACTCTAGTATACACTTTTTTTGGTATTAGAAATAAAGATTATATGCTACAGGACACCACATCAGAAGAAGAAAAATCCTACAAATGATTTCATTTGGGCTTTTTCATGTTCCAGATAAAGATATAGGTCCATAAAACTTTTTAGCTGGTACTCTTCCTCAGTGTTTTTTATAGTGAGATATATAATTATGTAGATAGATGAAATATCATAGTCTAATATCACTCTATAAGTATTTTAGGTGGTTTACTTGAGTTTTTCCCATATTGACTGCAATCTCCATTGCACTTTGGCAAACTACACAGAACAAAGTAGGCTCCCAATAAACATTTGCTGATTGATGATGAATACATGTGCACTTCAAAAAGTAACAAGTAAAATGCAAATATAAATGGTGTTAATATAAGTTTTCATCATGATAATGATTATGATGGCAATCACTTGGTTTTATCCACTAGATGGAAAAACAGTAATATTGATATCTTACTAGCATATAAGATAATCAGTATTGGTATAAGTGAAATACTGGTACATATGGGTATTACAGTGTTTTATTTTATCTTAAAATTGGAAATGATTAAAATAATGAGTGGTTTAATAGAAATTCTAATTCTAAAAAAACTAACATAAAAACATTAAATTCTTCTGTAACAGTGTTGGATCTCAGCTAGAGCAGTATTCTTACATGTTTGGACAGAAAACAGCACTTCATTTATAAATAATGTTTTTATTTAAATAATCTTGAATTAAAATGAAATCTTTGGCCCTGCTAGTAATTAAACAGCAGTGCTTTACACTACTCTTATTCTAAACATGCAGACAGAGAAAAACACTTTACAAATAAAAGTATACACAAGCTGCAGTGTTTTGGTCCATTAGGGAGGAGAACACCTGCAAAGCTTTTACTTCCCCCACTTATATATATATTTTTTTTAGTGGGCTGAAGTGTGATAATACTCTTGTCCCCATATGGGAACCAGAGATTAGTCCCAACTAAAACATCCAACACACTCAGCTACCTGCAAGCAATTGAGTAACCTAAGCTTAACTGATATGTAGAGCTGGAACAAGAGGCACTTGAAACAACTGGCCACATAGGGCACACAGAGAGAAGGCCACTCACAAGTCCAAATAAGCCATGTGCTTATTTGTCTCCTACAGGGGTGGAAGAAAAGTCACTACTCAGGGTGACCCTATTCAATTCAACACAGCTGGTGGAACTGGCTGAGTGTCTCCATAGGAAACCCCATGGAATACTGGGCCCCCTGAGCCTGAGAGCAGCGACCAGAGTAGAGCAGAACTCTCACCAACTATATTGAAGGGCTACTGGGGGGTAGGGAGGGAGTGCAGGCAGGATAAGGCTTCTTAGCCTTAAGGAACAGTGACATATAGGAATGCACACTTCTGTTTTTTCTCCTTGTAAGAGCGGGGGAGGTTATCCTTTACTTTTTCACCCTCAGAAACTTGCACAGTTTTTCTACAGGGCCAGAGGAATCTAAAAGAATAGCTGCTTTGAATCTTCCAATATCATGGCTGACCATTCTGTTTTCAAATGAATTGTACAAAGTAAAAGGCAGCTTAAAATCCAATCTAAAGGTACATGTCCTTTGAGCTGTAAGTGCACACTCAAATACCCTAGTGCAAGGGCAATGATGACATCACACCTTACATGTAATCTGTACAGTACAGGTGACACAGTCTAGAAATTTGGTCTTCCAAAGCTGGGAAGAATGTATGAGATAAGGATGCTTTCAGTTATAAAAATATTGTATTTTGCTTAATTTTAGATGTGTATTTTGAATTAAACTCCTTTAATCACAAAAAGGTTAGAATTGATGTTTCAAGCAACACAGGTAAATGCAGAAAATAGCTCCTTGCAAATACACTCAGAACAACTCTCAGGCATTTTGTCTTGATGCCCCATCACAGGCATTTCTCCAAAACACATCCGCTTGGTACTATGAACTGCTTTCAGTCTAGCCTATTAACTTATTCTCCATTAGAGTTAGCAGTGATCTCTTTCAAACTCTTATCTAATCAGGTCCCTCCTTTCCTGATTAAAATGTTCTGATGGCTTCCCATTTCTGTCATTATAAAATGTAAACTCCAAGAAGTAGCTTATCACTAGGTCCCTGCCTACTTCCATTAACTCATTTCTTGTTTTTTGTTTGTTTGTTTGTTTTACCTTATTCTCCTTCACCCCAAGTAATATTTGCAGGGGCCCAGCTATAAATGTGCTGTGCGAAGTTTACTTACTCACCTTTCTTTAATATTTCCATGGTTTTGCATGTACTAAATACTTTAACAAATCAGCTATTTTCAATCCTGGCTGCAGAATAGAATAACAATAGCAGCAAAATCAGGCAACCACACCAGAATTCATTAGTCTATTTATTCAGGAGTGAGGCAGCATGGGCACTGGTTTTTAAAACGCTGGATCCTTGTGTATGTCAACAGCAGAGATTCCCTGCTGTAAATATTTATACCTGCAAATTCACCTGCGTTGTTTTTTTCATGCTGACTCACCCAACCCCTCCATAGTCCATGCTAGAATCTTCTCTGTGATGCTCCTATGTGTTCATATCCCCCATGGCTTCTAACACATCTTATTTCAATCTTTTATCTCCTATTTCTCATCTCTACCAGAATACAAATTATTTGCCTCCCTAGTACCTAGCATTCAAGATTTCTTTTTACCTGAACAAATGGGGATTTTGAAGTGAGTTTAACAAACACTTACTGACAGCTACCTTTGTGTCAGCCACTCTGCTAGTCTCTTGTCCAATCCACATTCCCTCTGCTTTGGGGCTCACGGATTAATAGGGGAGATAGTAACTTAATGAAATCATAACACGATAAAATATTTTATGGCAATCTAAGTTACCATAGGAAAATTAATGATTTTAGGAAGTCAGTGAAGGTTTTTATTAAAAAATGCATTCATGTTTAGAACTAAAAGATAAGTAGTATGTTCCTAGACTCAGTAGAAGCAAGGATGTTCCTGGCATCAAAAATAGGATATTATTACAGTGGATTTCCAGTGAGTAAAGAGGAAAGTGGTCAGAGATGAAGCTACCAATGTAAGGGGAAACAGGTCACAGAGGATCTCAAAGCCACAAGGCCACTGAATTTTACCCCAAGTAAAATAGGTAGAGCCATGTATCAATCACGGCTCAATCAGAAAAACAGAAACCACTACGCATGCTTCAAGCAGAAGGGATTTTATACTCAGATCTAATTACACAGGTGATGGAAGAGTTAGGAAGCCAAGAAGAGGATAGTGAAGCAATTTATAAATTTAGTACAGATGGAAGACACTATTTACTATTAAGCTGAAGGGATATAGGGAGGAGGTAGTATGAAGGAGAGGAACGTGGTTAGCATTCTGGTGATAAACAGGGCCACAGAGGAAGTGACTTCAAGTGGAAAAAGTTGAAACTACAGCTGAAGATACTGCCCTCCCACTTTAGCGACCTACAGCGTGAAACCAGCCAGGAGCAAGGAAGTTTAAGAAATAGCTCCCGGTGATAAAGATTGGCACAGAAGAGATTGGAAATATATCTAACAGCAAATGGCCACACCACCAAAGAGTGCAAAGCTACAGTTTTGTGAGAATGTGATCAGGTTTAATCTGAAATATATATCACCCTGCTGTCCGTATGATGTTGCAGGTAGAGAAAGGCAAGAGTAGAGAAAGACCATGGAGGTTTCTCGTGTGATGATCCAAGTAATAGTGGAGGTAGGCTGAACTAAGATGTTAGCAGTGACGATGGAAAGAAATTATTGTGTTTGAAATATATTTAAGAGGCAGGTAGAAGCAGCAGGGAGCATTTCTTGAAGGGAGAGGAATCCAGATTTTGTTCTTTATGTAATGGGGAGTCCCTGCAGGTTTTTGATCAGAGGAGCCAGGAACAGTGCTATTCATTTGCAATTCAAGATAAATCGAATGGATGAGATGCCCAAGACAGTGAAACCTGTTAAAAGGTTATTGCAATAGATCAAACATTAAGAATATCAACGTGTCAAGGTGAACCATAAAACTAACAGAAAAACAAAACAACAGCAACAAAGCCTGAAGTTAATTTTATTTAGTTAAAAAAATGAGTATTGAAATAAAATTGATTTTTTAAAATCCTGGATGTATTTTATTAATTTAATAATATCTGAACTCAATAACGGTAATGTTATTAGCTTTATTGTTCATAAGCCTGGAATCAACTGACATTTTGCACAGAGGCTAGTTCGCTTGATTGATTTCAGTCTCAACATAGATGAGCAAACAACGAGCCCTAATGACCGCACGTGATTAATTTCCAATTTATGCATTCTGAGAGTATTCGTCAAATGTCAGAAGTGTATCTGTATTTTTAGGTACCAAGAAAATAAGTACCCAAAATCATCCGTACAAAATTTTCCTCTTCAACCTATGTTTGACCTAATGGATTTGGTATCTAACCAATAAATAATTCTTTAGAGGTCCATAAAGATCCTTTAATACTTTAGACCAAAACTTAGCAGCACAAAATTTTTAGAGTTATGAGGGTCATATAATAATGCTAACTTTTATTTTGTTAATTTCCTCATTTAATATTTAAATCTTATTACTTCAGTTCACTCATTTTTCATTCAATATATATTTATTAAGTACTTATCATATGTCAAAGTTTGGACTAGGCTTTGGGGATACAGACATAACAAGTTCTAAAATAATACCTGCTTAGGTGGAGTTTACATGTAGCTTTAAATTTATGTTAGGTAGGTGTGTGAAATAATAAAGTCTCTTCCAAAAATTCTTTTAGATGGAGATGACTAATGCTTAACATATACGATTTAAACAAAACAGATGTTTTAAAACCACCTATTTGAAATCAATTTCTATGAAATAAAGAAAATGGAGCTTAAGAGGAAGACAGTATCGGAAGCTAGGACATACTGCCTTCATTCTCCGTATTACACTTTCTCTACAATGTTTTCAGTTTTACCAGTGCTTGGATGATATCACTAAGAATAAGAGACAATAGAAAGTCCTTTAACATTTATTCTAAATCTGTTCTGTATAACTCTAAAGTGTGCACACACAAAATTATGCCTAGCAGTCATTGGGTCACCTCTTTATTATATGACTACATTTTATGTTTTAATCTTTTCCCCATTGCACCTTTATTTATTAATAAAAATTAAAATGCAAAGATATCTAATTTTTGGTATCACTTGGAAGGAGAATGGAAGTCACCCCTTCATTCTAACAACAAGGAAAAAGCTAAATAGACTGAAAAATTAACTTTTCATAGATTTATAAGAGAAGGGAGGACATAGAGAAACCCACTGCCCTAAAGATTGGAGGGATAGACAAGTGAATACAGAAAGTCCCAACTAAGCGAAGCAGAGACTTGTCATGGAACTGCTATGAGAACCAGTGTTGGGGTAGAGAAAACAATTTTAATTGACAAATTGCTGGAGGAGGGGCAGTGTAGACAAGTTTGAGAGTTAAAACTCGAGAGGAACCAGATGTAGGGGAGTCCGCACAATGTTGTGAGATTTACCTTCAGGAGCTCAACCAGATTCCACAATAAATATAATAGAAAAATCCCCTCATGCTTCCACCAGGGGGAGGGGAAAAGGAACCATTCTGAAATATGTTAGAACACTCTTTTTTTAAATAAGGCCTGCCCTCACGAGAAACTATTCAACTAGAGTCTAATCTGCTGGTACATTATCAGAGCCAAACTGATCTGGATAAAGGAAAATATCCAACTTCAACTCCCTCTAGCCTTCCATGTAGGGGAGGGGAAATACTCAACTCCAGCTCACTCTAGTCATTCTGTCCTACCTAAGATGGAAGAAAATAGCTGATGAACACTCGTGAAGTTCAAAGTACAGAGGCATAAGCTTACAAAAAGACTGAGACCAAATCACAGGACTATAGAACATTCCCTGTGCCCCGACACTTTGCCACTATATTACTGAAGGCCTATTCACAGCAGTTTCTGCTACTATCATATCTTGCTATCAAGAAAATTTACCAGCCATATCAAAAGACAAAACCCACACAATTTGAAAAGGCAAGAGAAAATATCAGAACCAGACATGACAGGACTGTTGGCATTATCTGACTGGAAGTTTAAAACAACTATAATTAGATCCTGAGGGGTCTAATGGAAAAAATAAACAGCAAGCAAGAACGGGTGAGCAATGTAAGCAGACAGACAAAAATGCAAAGGAAGGACAGGAAAGAAATGCAAATTACCAAAAACAGTGACAGAAATAAAGGCGGCATTTGGTGGACGTATTAGTAGACTGAACATGACTGAGTAAAGAACTTCTGAATTTGAAGATACATGAATAGAAACTTCAAACACTAAAGAGGAAATATAACAAAGTCTGAAAAAAACAGAGCAGAATATGCAAGGACTGTGGACAACTGTAAAAAATGTAACATACAGGTTATGGGAATACCAGAAGGAGAAGAAAGAGAGAAAGCAGAATAAATGTCTGAAGCAATAATGTCTTTCCCCAAATTAATGTCAGATACCAAACCACAAATCGAGGAAGTTCAGAGAACACAATGCAAGATTTTTAAAGAATCCTACATTTTGGCATGTTATTTTCAGTCTACAGAAAACCAAAAAGTTTTTCTTTTAAATCTTCTTGAAAGAAGCTAGAGGAAAACCATACCTTACCTACATAGAAGCAAAGATAATCTTTCTCTTCAGAAATCATGCAAGCAATAAGAGAGTGAAGTGGAATATTTAAAGTGTTGAGAGAAAAAGAAAATAACAACCTAGAATTCTGTACCTTGTGAAAGTGTGTTCCAAAAGTAAAAAAGAAATAATTTCTCAAACAAATAAAAATTGAAGGAATAGTCCTATCTTGCAATAAATGTTAAAAGAAGATTTTTGTTGTTGTTGTTGTTGTTTTGTTTTGTTTTGTCTTTTTTTTTTTTTTTTTTTGAGACAGAGTCTCGCCCTGTCACTCAGGCTGGGGTGCAGTGGCATGATCTCGGCTCACTGCAAGCTCCGCCTCCCGGGTTCATGCCATTCTCCTGCCTCAGCCTCCTGAGTAGCTGGAATTACAGGTGTGTACCACCATGCCTGGCTAATTTTTGCATTTGTAGTAGAGATGGGGTTACACCATGTCAGTCAGGCTGGTCTTGAACTCCTGACCTCGTGATCTGCCCCGCCTCAGCCTCCCAAAGTGCCGGGATTGCAGGCTTGAGCCACCACGCCGGGCCTATTTTCCTTTATTCTTAAAAACTACTTTTGGCCAGGCGTGGTGGCTCATGCCTGTAATCCCAACACTTTGGGATGCTGAGGCAGGTGGATCACCTGAGGTCAGGAGTTTTGAGACTAGCCTGACCAACCTGGTGAAACCCTGTCTCTACTAAAAATACAAAATTAGCTGGGTGTGGCAGTGCATTCCTGTAATCCCAGCTACTTGGGAGGCTGAGGCAGGAGTATTGCTTGAACCTGAGAGGCTGTGGTTGCAGTGAGCTGAGATCATGCCATTGCACTCCAGCCTGGGCAACAAGACAGAAACTCCATCAAAAAAGATTATAAAAAAGAATAAAGGAAAATAATAGAGCTGAGTAAAAAACTCAGATCTATATAAAAAAGGAAAAGTATCAGAGCAAGAATAAAGGAATGTAAAATAAAACTTATTACTTTTATTGTCCTTAATTGGCCTAACAGATAACAGTTTCCTCAAAATAATAGTGGTAACATTGCATTATATTACTTATGCTTATGTATATATCATATATAGTCATGTATGCTTATATATAAGTCAAATGAATGACATCAATGATAGGAGAGAAATAAATTAAGATTATTTTGTTATTATAAGATATCCTTTAAGTGGTATAGCGTTATTTGAAAGTAGCTTGAGTTAGCTGTAAATGCATATTACAAGCTATAAATCAACCACTAAATAAGTAAAAAAGAAAGTATCATTGATATGCTAAGAAAGGAAATAGAATTATATAAAATTCTCAGTTAAAACTACAAAAGCCAGAAAAAAAGTAAAAGACAAAAATAAGAACAAAAAACAAAAGCAATGAATATAAAGCATTAACAAATACAGCAGAGATTAATCCAATTATATAAATGATCCTTTTGAATTTCAATGGTCAAAATTCACCAATTAAAAGACAGAGATTATCAGATTGAATAAAAAACTAGACCCAACTGTGTGTTGTCTAGAAGGAGCCCATTTAAAATGTAAAGTAACATATAGATTGAAAGTAAATGGATAGACAAAAATATATCATGATAACACTAATGCAAAGAAAGCAGGAATAGTTATATTAATTTCAGAAAGATCAGACTTCTAAGCAAGGAACATTATCAGATATAGAGAAGGCCATTAGATAATGATAACAATCCTTAATATGTATGTGCCTAACAACAGAGAATAAAACTATGTGAGGCAAAAACTAATAAAACTGCAAGGAGAAATAGACACATCCATTATCATAGTTGAAGAATTCAACATCTCTCTATCAGAAATAAATAAATCCAGCAGGCAAAATATCAGTAAGGAAATAGTTTAACACAACAACACTATCAACCAACTGGATATAATCAATATTTATAAACTACTTCAACAACAGCAAAATCCACATTCTTTTCATGCTCACATGGAACATCAGTAGGATAGAACTCATTCTGGGCATTAAAACACAGCTTAAAAAATAGAAATGCAATGTCTGCTCTCAGACTTCAATGAAACTAAACTGGACATCACTAACTGAAAGATAACAAGATAAGCCCAAAATACATGGAGATCAAGCAACACGTTTCTAAATAACACATGAGTTAAAGAAGAAATTTCAAAAGAAATTAAAATTACATTGAACCAAATGAAATGAAAGCAAAGCTTATCAAAATTTGTGAAATATAGCAAAAATAGCACTTAGAGGGAAATTTATGTCATTGAATGCATATATTAGAGAAGAAAAAAAGGTCTGAAATCAATCATCTAATCATCCACCTTATAAAACTGGAAAAAGATGAGCAAATTCTGTCCAAAAGAAGCAGAAGAAAAGAAATAATAAGAATTAGAGCAGAAATAGATGAAATTGAAAACAGGAAATCAGTAGAAAGAATTAACAAAACCAAATCTGGTTATTTAAAATGTCAATAAACTTGATAAGCCTATATCTGGCTAACTAAGAGAAACTGAGAAAGGTCATAAATTACATGTATCAGACATGAAAGAGGGGACACCACTACAGCTCCTATGGACATTAATAGGATAATAAAGAAATACCATGAGTAACTCTGTGCCCACAACTGTAATATCCTGGATTAAATAGACCAATTTCTTCAAAGAAAAAACCTGCCAAACCCACATAAGGAGAAATAGACAATTTGAATTGGTCTATATCTATTAAAGACATTGTTAGCTATTCCTTATATCTATATTTAATATAGATATTTATAATAATATCAATGTAGTCAATAATTAATAACCTTCCAAAATAGAAGCATCTGGCCTAGATGGGTAATTCCAGTAAATATTTAAGGAAAAAATTACAACAATTCTTTACAATCTCTTTCAGGGGCTAGAAGCAGATGGAGTGCTTTCTAACTTATCCTATGAGGCCATCATTGCCCTGATACCAATACCAGATCAAGGCATTATAATGAAATATGTCTCATAAGCATAGATGCAAAAATCTTCAACAAAATATTAACTATTTGAATCCAAAAATGTACAAAGTGTACTTTATAATGTATATTATAAACCATGACTAAATAGCATTTATTCCAGGTATGCAAGATGGGATCAATAATCAAAAAACCTATTCATGGTGGATTTTAGAATAAGTGCCATGTGGCACTGAGAAGAGTGTATATTCTGTTGATTTGGGGTAGAGAGTTCTGTAGACGTCTATTAGGTCCACTTGATCCAGAGCTGAGTTCAAGTACTGAATACTCTTGTTAATTTTCTGTCTCGTTGATCTGTCTAATACTGATAGTGGAGTGTGAAAGTCTCCCACTATTATTGTGTGGGAGTCTAATTCTCTTTGTAGGTCTCTAAGAACTGGTTTTATGAATCTGGGTGCTCCTTTATTGGGTACAAATATATTTAGAATAGTTAGCTCTTCTTGTTGAATTGTTCCCTTTACCATTATGTAATGCCCTTCTTTGTCTTTTTTGATCTTTGTTAGTTTAAAGTCTGTTTTGCTGTTTTGTCAGAGACCAGGATTGCAACCCCTGTTTTTTTTTTTCTTTCTTACTTTCCATTTGCTTGGTAAATTTTCCTCCATCCCTTTGTTTTGAGCCTTATATGTGTGTCTCTGTATGTAAGATGGATCACCTGAATACAGCACACCAATGGATCTTGACTCCTTACCCAACATGCCAGTCTGTCTTTTTTAATTGGGGCATTTAACCCATTTACATTTAAGGTTAGAATTGTTATGTATGAATTTGATCCTGTCATCATGATGCTATCTGGTTATTTTGCACATTAGTTGATGCAGTTTCTTCATAGTGTCATTGGTCTTTATATCTTGGTGTGTTTTTGCAGTGGCTCATACCACTTTTTCCTTTGATGTTTAGTGCTTCTTTCAGGAGCTCTTGCAGGTCAGACCTAGTGGTAACGAAATCCCTCAGCATTTGCTTGTCTGGAAAGGATTTTGCTTCTCCTTTGCTTATGAAGCTTAGTTTGTTTGGATATGAAATTCTGGGTTGAAAATTCTTTTCTTTAAGAATGGTGAATATTGGTCCCCAATCTCTTCTGGCTTGTAGAGTTTCTGCTGAGAGGTCTGCTGTTAGTCTGATGAGCTTCCCTTTATAAGTGCCCTGGCCTTTCTCTCTGGCTTCCCTTAGCAGTTTTTTCTTCACTTCTACCTTGGAAAATCTGATGTTTATGTCTTGGGGTTGAACTTCTCGTAGAGTATCTTAATGGTCTTCTCTGTATTTCCCAAATTTCCATGTTGGCTCCTCTTGCTAGGTTGGAGAATTTCTCCTGGATAATAACCTGAAGTGTGTTTTCCAGCTTGTTTCCATTCTCCCTGTCTCCTTCTGGTACTCCAGTCAGTCGTAGGTTGGTCTTTGTGTGAAGTCCCATATTTCTTGGAGGCTTTGTTCATTCCTTTTCATTCTTTTTTCTCTATTCTTGTCTGCATGTCTTATTTTAGCAAGGTGGTCTTCAAACTCTGATATCCTTTCTTCCACTTGGTCAATTCGGCTGTTATTACTTGTGTATACACGAAGTTCTCGTATTGTGTTTTTCAGATCCATCAGGTCGTTTATGTTTCTCTCTAAACTGGTTATTCTAGTTACCAATTCCTCTAAAGTTTTATTGAGGTTCTTAGCTTCTTTGCATTGGGTTAGAACATGCTCCTTTAGGTCAGCATAGATTTTTTTACCCATCCTCTGAAGCCTACTTCTGTCAATTTGTCCATCAGATCCTCTGTCCAGTTCCATGCCCTTGATGGAAACCTAGGCAATACCATTCAGGACATAGGTATGGACAAAGACTTCATGACAAAAACGTGAAGAGCAATTGCAACAAAAGCTACAATTAACAAATGGGATCTAATTAAACTAAAGAGCTTATGCACAGCAAAAGAAACTATTATCAGAGTAAATAGGCAGCCTACAGAATGGGAGAAAAATTTTGCATTCTACCTATCTGACAAAGGTCTAACATCCAGAATTTATAAGGAACTTAAACATATTTACAAAAAAAAAAACCCAAACAACCTCATCCAAAAGTGGGCAAAGCATATGAACAGATATTTCTTAAAAGAAGACATTTACATGGCCAACAAACATATGAAAAAAGCTCAACATCATTGAGTATCTAAGAAATGCAAATCAAAACCACAGTGAGATACCATCTCAAACCAGTCAGAATGGTGATTATTAAAAAGTGAGAAAACAGTAGATGCTGGCGAGGCTATGGAGAAATAGGAATGCTTTTACACCGTTGGTGGGAATGTAAATTAGTTTAACCATTGTGGAAGACAGTGTGGCAATTCCTCAAGGATCTATAACCAGAAATACCACTTGACCCAGCAATCCCATTATTGGGCATAAACCCAAAGGAATATAAATCATTCTACTATGAAGACTCATGCACACATATGTTTATTGCAGCACTATTTACAATAGCAAAGACATGGAACCAACCCAAATGCCCATCAATGATAGACTGGATAAAGAAAATTGGTACATATACACTATGGAATACTATGCAGTATTCCATATAAGGAATATCCATAAAGAGGAATGAGATCATGTCCTTTGCAGGGACATGGATGAAGCTGGAAGCCATCATCCTCAGCAAACTAACATAGGAACAGAAAACCAAACATTGCATGTTCTCACTCATAAGTGGGAGCTGAGCATTGAGAACACTTGGACACAGAGAGAGGAACAGGACACACCAGGGCCTGTTGGGGTTGGGGGCCTAGGGGAGGGAAATTAGAGGATGGGTAAATAGGTTCAGCAAACTACCATGGCACACGTATACCTATGTAATAAACCTGCATGTTCTGCACATGTATCCCATTTTTTTATTTTTTTAGAAGAAATAAAGAAAAACAAAAAAAAACCCCAAATCTATTGATGTAAGCTATTACATTGACAGGCTAAAAAATAAAAAAATCACATATTCATATAAATAGATGCAGATAAAGAATTTGATACAATCTAACACCTATTCATTATAAAAGCTCTTAGTAAACTAGGGATAGAGGAAGACTTCTTAAATTTGATGAAGAATATCTACAAAAGGCCTACAGCTAACATCATAATTATAACAAATTTGAAGGTTTCTCACTAAGATGCAGCAACAATGCAAGTATGTCCCCTCTCACCAATCATTTTCAACACTGTAATAGAGGAACCAACAAATGCAGCAAGAAAAGGAAGGGAAAAAAACAAATATAAATTGGGAAGGAAAAAATAAAACTGGGTTTATCTGTAGAAGACATAATCATCTCTGTAAAAAATATAAAACAATTGACAGAAATATCCTAGAACTAATATTGCAAGATTTTAGTATACAAGATTAATATATAAAAGTCAACCAATTTTCTGTATACCAGCAATAAACAAGTAGAATTTGAAATTACAAACAATACCAATACCATTTACATTAGCAAACCCCAAAATGAAATACTCAGGTATAAATAAAAAAAATATCTATAAAAGGTATTAATATGTGGAAAACTACAAATTGCAGATGAACAAAATCAGAGAAAACTACAAAAATGCCAATGAATGACATCAAAGAAGATATTCTGTATTCATAGATAGGAAGACTCAATATTGTCAAGATTTTTGTTCTTCTCAAGTAAATGTGTAGATTGCATGCAATCCCAGCTGAAGTCACTGCAAATTATTTTGTGGGTATCAATACACTGATCTGATACATTACAAGGAGAGGCAAATGACCAAGACTAGCCAACACAGTATTGAAGAAAATGGAAAAAGTTGGAGAACTAATACTACCCAACTTCAAAACTCATTATAAAGTGACAGTGATAAAAACAGTGTGTTATTGGTAAAATAATAGAAAATGTATCAATGGAACAAAATAGAGAGCCCAGATATAGGCCCACATAAGCAAAGTTATCTGATCTTGGAGAAAGGAGCAAAGACAGTACAATGGAGCCAAGATACTTTTTTCAACAAATGATGGTAGGTCAGCTGGACATTCACATGCAAAATACATAGATGCAGACCTTACACTCTTCAGAAAAATAAACTGAAAATGAGCCATAAACCTTAATGCAAACACAAAATTATAAAATTTGTAGAAGATAACATAAGAGAAAACCTGTATGACCTTCATATGATGATGACTTTTAGATACAACCCCAATGGCACAATACATGGAAGAAATAATTGACAAACTTGACTGCATCAAAATTAAAAACGTCTGCTCTGTCAAAGACAATGTCAAGAGAATGAGAAGACCAGCCACAGAGTGGGAGAAAATATTTGCAAAAGACACATCTGATGAAAGACTGTTATCTGAAATACACAAACAACCCCTAAAAATCAACAATAAGAAAACACTCCACTTTACAAATGGGCCAAAGATCTTAATGGACACCTCATCAGAGAAGATATACAGATTGAAAATAAGCATATGAAAAGATGGTCCACATTCTATGTCAGCAAGGAAATGCAAATTAATAAAAAATGAAATACCATTACCTAAGAATTAGATTGGCCCAAATATAAAACTCTAGCATCACCAAAAACTGATGAGAATGTGGAGCAACAGGAACTCTCCTTCATTACTGGTAAGTATGCACGATGGTACAGCCACTTTGGAAGATAGTTTGGTCATTTCTTACAAAGCTATAAGTATGTTTACCACATGATTCATCAAACACGCTTCTTGGCATTCATCCAGAGAAACTGAAAACTTACATTCACACAAATACCTGCTATATAAATGTTTATAGTAGCTTTATTCTTAACTGACAAAACTTGGAAATATTCAGGAATGTCCTTCAGTAGGTGAAAGAATAAGCTGTGGTACATCCAGCCAATGGATAAACTCTGCTACATCCAGGCAATTCAGTGCTAAAAAGGAATGACCTACCAAGCCATAGAAAGATATGGACAAAAGTTAAATGCATGCTACCGAGTGAAAGAAGTCAATTGGGAAAGGCTACATACTGTATGATTCCAACTCTATGATATTTAGGGAAAGACAAAAGTTAAAGACATTTAAGAGACAGTGGTTGGCAAGGGGTGGAGGTAGAGAGGGATGAAGAGGAGAAACAGAGGATTTTAGGGGCAGCAAAAGTACTGTGTATGACACAATAATGATGGATACATGTCATTATACATTTGTTCAAACTCATTGAATGTACAACACCAAGAGTGAACTCCTGCTGTAAACTATGGACTTTGGCTGTTTATGATGTGTCAATGTAGGTTCATTAATTGTAAAAAATGTGTCGCCCTGGTGAAGGATGCTGATAATGGAGGAGGTCATGCATGTGTGAAGTCAGGGTGTTTATGGGAACCCTCTATACCTTCTTCTTAATTTTGCTGTGAACCTAAAACTGCGCTAAAAAAATAAGCCTTAAAAAAGGGAAAAAGATGTTAGTAATTTATGTTGTTTTGCTTTTTTTTGAGTAGTAGATATTGTGAGGTAGCCTGTACATAAGCAAAAGTATAAGATAATCCTGGGATACTTCTGTGGCTGCCAAAAATATTTCTAAATTCAACAAATAAAGTTTATATTACCAAATTCTCTAAGAGAAGCAATGTCTTGTAGATTTTGGATCTCATGTAAGTAGACATAATTAATTAAATGGAAAAGAAATTGAGATGCTATTAACACTTTGTAATGTTCATATGTTAGGAGTCAGAAAAAATAATGAGCTTAAATTTAATTATTTTCAAATGAATTTTCATTTTTTTTAAGTAAATAATATTTTGGGGGACATATCCTATATTTATCAACATATTCCCTCAAAATGAGTACCAAATACTCTCTAATTATGTGCTTTTATTTAATTTCCTGTATATTATTAAATGTTTGCACACTGAAGTATATGATACTTAATGGAATGTCCTGAAAAAAACTGTATCAGACACTATGATATGTGGTGAATGTGTGTGTGTATGTGTGTGTGCACGGGCGCATGTGTGGGTATACATAAAACAAACTTATTAAATTAGATCCAATACAACAGTGCTGTGGATTAGGTATACCAACTTATATCACACTATATTTAAGAGGTGGACTCTGAAGACCTCATTTTAGAGCATGAAGAGAAGGGATCTCTTTACACAGAGTAAAAAGCTAAAGGAAGTTCCACTTCACTCCTGTAAAAATCAAAAGTGCATGTGTATAATAATCAGAAGTAATATGAATAATGGAAATGAACCCCATTTCTTCCCACTCCTTGGTGACTAAAACAAACAAAAAAAATCAGCCTTTAAGAGAAAATGTAGAGTAACTTCCCTGGAAACTCTCATTCTCCAGAAAATTTTGTCAAGGAGAGATCATAGATACATATGGGTAAAGGCAGAAAAAGAGAACCAAGATCAATGGGGAAAGAAAAAAGATCTTACATACAAGATATGTAATAAAGAATTTTTCTTGTGAGCAGGCAAATTGTAACATAGCTGGAGCAAGAATCTTATTTCATTCTTTGTGAATATTCATTTAGTGCCAAATGTAAGCCAAGACCTTTCCTTAGCACTGGTGATGAGGCAGTGAATGACAGAGGTACTAGCTCTACCTTCATGAAGGTTGCTCTTCTTCAGTGAGATGGGCAGTAGAAAACAAAATTGACATAGGATATAATGCTAGGTAATGATAAGTAGTATGAAGAAAAATAAAACAATAATTATATAGTAAATACGGTACTATTTTAGTATAAGTTGTCAGGGAATGATTTTTAAATAGGGTTTCATTAAAAAATATACAAGGGTATATTTAAAATTATAAAACACTACAAAGAGAAATTAAAGAAGCCTTAAATAATTGAGAATGATATAAGTAAAACAAAATTAATGGATTAGAAGGATCAATATTGTTAAATAACCATTCTCTCCAAAAATATGCCTATATAGTTAACACAATTGCAACAAAAATTACATGCATCTTTTTTTTTTTTTTTGAAACTGGGTCTTGCTCTCTTGCCCAGGCTGGAGTGGTGTAGTGGCATGATCATAACTCACTGCAACCTCGAACTCTTGGGCTCAAGCTCCGCAGCCTTCTGTGTAGCTAGGACTACAGGTGGGTACCACCATGCCCAATGAATTTTTTTTTCAAATTGTAGAGACAAGGTCTCACCATGTTGCCCAAATGGGTCTCCAACACCTGACCTCAAGTTATCCTCCTGTCTCAGCCTCCTAAAGTGCTAGAATTATAGACATGAGCTACCATGCCCAACAACCCTTTGTTTAATGATAGAAATTTACATACTGATTTTACAACTTATAAAAGAATGCAAAAGATATAAAATAGCCAAAGTAATTTTGAAAAGGAAAACAAAATTGGAGGACTGACCACACCTAATCAACACTTACTACAAAGCTGAAATAATTAACAATATTTGGTATTTGGTATAAGAATAGGCATATTCATCAATGATTGGAATATAGTCCAGTTCCTCATATATATGTGTATATATATATATGTATGTATATATATATGTATTATATATATACACACACACATATATCAAATTTTAAAAGGATTCTCTCTATATATATATATACATAAATCTCATATCAAAAGGTCATCATATCAATCAAAAAGGGCTATATATATAAGAAAGAGATGATAATAGAGTCCAGAAATAAACCCACAAATATATAGGATTCAGAAATTAACTTATCTCTCTATGTATGTAGTCCCTTTTTATATAATGCCAAAAATTCAAACATTGCTTTACAAAAGTAAAAATAATGTCTTTTAAATGAATAGTACTAGACAATTGAATAACTGTATGAAAAAATTGAATTTCAAACATCACCTCCCACTCCTACACAAAAATTAACTGGAACTGGCTTAAAGCCCTAAATGGAAAAGGTAAAGTGACAAAACTTCTGGAAGTAAACATGAAAGAACATTTTTGCAAACATTAAATAGGCAATAAATTCTTTGATAGGAGACAAAAAAGACAAAGAAAAAATAAGGATCTTAATTTTATCAAAATTTTAAAAATTACTTTTCAAAATATATCATTAAGAAAATGGAATGGCAAGGACCCTCATTGGGAAAAAATATTCACCATCCATATGTCTGAAAGAGGATATGTATCCAGAATGTATAAGGACCATTACAACTCAAGAATTAAAAAACAAAACAATTTAAGATGGCAATAATTTGCACATATATTGTACAAAGTTCATATACAAATAAGCATGGGTAAAGGTACTAAAATCTTTATTCATAAATTAAATACGAAGTAAAACTACCATAAGATATCATTGTAAGCTCCCTAGAATAGGTGCAATTTAAAATACAGACAGTGCCAAGTGTTGACAAGTATGTAGAAGAACTGAAAATCTCATACATTGTTGCTGAAAATGTAAAATGAGAGACCCTTGAAAATTAGTTTAGCAACTTTCTATAAGGTCACATATACATGTAACTTATGGCCCAATATTTTAACTCCTAGATACCCAATATAAGTAAAAACATATGACAACACAAACTTTTACAAAAAATTAAAGCAGTTTAATTCATAATATTAAAAAATTGGAACACCCCAAATGTCCATCAACAAGATAAACCCTTCTATATAGTAATACTTAGTAATAAAAAGAAAAAAGAATTGCTATATGAAACAACATGAATGGACTCCTCCCAAAGCATTGCTTTGCACAAAGAAGCCAGATAAATGACAACATAGTACATTAGGATTCTATTTGTGGGAAACTCTGGAAAGCCAAATCTACAGTGATAGAAAGTTAATCAATGGTAACCTGGGGTAAGATGTAAGGATTAGGGAATGCCTAGGAAATGTCACAAGGGAATCTTTTTGATGATAGAAGTGCTCTCTATCTTTATTGTTAAGGTGGTAATTTCATTGGATACATTCATTTGTCAAACCTCATTGAGCTTTACAATCAAAATGTGTACATTTCATCATTTATAAATTATGTCTCAGTAAAGTTGATTAAAATCAAATCAACTAAGTAATGTGGATCTTTTAAAGCCCACTGTTTAAGATGTTAAGTAGCTACCAAAACAATGAAGAATAGAGGCATTCATCATGAAGAGAAAATTAGCTAAGAGAGCTGAGTCTAATATTTTATACCACTTTGCCTTTTCATGCACTTATTAATTCTAAAATTATGCATGAAAGATGGTAAAGCTGAACATAAGATAGCTTAAGAGCAACTGGGAGAGCAGACTAGGGCTTTGAGCAGTCTCTGGAGAAGGGGGCAAGACTTGAAACTCTAGTCTCACCAAGTCGGAGGTAGCTGATAAATTGGGGCTTTCAACTGGGAACCTAACATGTAATTTATGACGCATCATGATAGAGCTGCCCTTTTAAAGACTGAAATTCTTTATCATATTAGTTTGATCCCAGATGAACTTTTTCTAGCTGGAATGTCTGTCAAAGGCAAAAAATAAATAAATAAAATAATCGTTTTGGCAGAAGTTTAAAATCATGTATTTCAGGCAAAAAACTCTATAATTTTTTGTATGCTATGTCAGTCATTAAATAAATAATAGCAAGGTATGAAAAAAGAAAACAATTGAACACAAGTCAAAATTTTAAAAAGAGAAACAACAGATGTACAAGATAGCCCAGATTTTGGAATTATCAGCTAATTCTTTAACTATGATTAATTTGTTTAAGAAATAAAACAAAATGTCGGACGATTTTAGCAAAAACTGAAAAAAATAATAATCAATAGAGATTTTATCACTGAGATTTACTGTGGTAGGCAGAATTCCAGAGGGCCCATGACCTTTGCCCTCTCATGTTATTCCCATGATTATGTTAAGGTTCAGCATGACAGGGATTTTTCAGATGTAATTAAGATGACTAATTAGTTGATCTTAAGATAGCGAGATTATCCAGGTGGAATTAATCTAATCACATTGACAGTTTAAAAGCAGAGAGCTTTCTCCAGTCAGTAACAGAAGAGTAAGCCAGAGATTCAAATCATGGTGGGGTTCGATGTGCTGTTCCTGGCTCTGCAGTTGGAAAGTGTTTTGCATCAAATAGTGCAGGTGGTTTAGGAGCTGAAAGCCCCCACCCAACAGCAGAAAAGGAAATGGCAACCTCTGCTTTCCAACTGCACAGAACTGTGTTCAGCTGATACTGAATCAATTTGGAATACGATTCTTCTCCAGATCCTCTGGATAAGAGGCCTGTATAGGTATCACCTTGATTTTGACCCTATGAGACTCAAAGCAGAAACCCACCTGGAGTTTTGACCTGCAGAACTGTGAGCTAATAGACTGTTGTGTTTTCAGGCACTAAGTTTGAGCATCAGTAGAAAACTAATACATACACAATAATTGGAAAATAGAACTCAACTGATGCATTTAACGGCTGATTAAATACAGATTAATAGAGGTCTCAATAATAGTAAAGTGTAAATAATAAACCAGAAGATAGGCAAGATGAAAATCCAGGGAAAATCATACAGGAAATAAAATGACAGAAAACAGAAAAGAGCTTAACAAGTGGGTGATATAATTGCAGTCCAGGAACTAAAGAATGCAGAAATGAGAGAGAGAGGGAGTTCATGAAGACATAATGGTTAGGAACTTTCCAAAACTATTAAGAAATGAAATATACATCCAGCAAAATACGCTTCAGAAGTGAAGGTAAATAGAAGCATTTTCACATTTAAAAAAAAAATTGACCATTCAACCAGAAATAGTAAAGGGAATTGTCAAGAGGAAATGATACCAGATGGATGCTCTGAATTTCAGGAAAGAAGAAAGTAACAAAAAAGTAGATATTTCAGTAAATCTAACTAAATATGGACTACATACAACAATACTAATGATGATGATGATGTCATATGGGGAATAGCAGGATGGTAAATTAAGGTAAAAAATATTTTTAGTCATAGCATTGTCCAGATATAATAAATGTATTACTACATATAAGAATTAAGACAAGGGATCACATTTTAATCTGAAGGCTATCTGAAAGAAAAATGAAAGAATATAAAACTAACAGGAGAATATAGCAAGAAAAAAAGAAATATCAGTAAAATACTCATTTCACTCAAAACAAGATAAAAAGGAGAGAAAATAGAAACAAAATCTAATATAAAACAAATAGAAAGATAGCACATTAAACCGTTGCTACATACTGCAGGAAAGAGGTCAAAAACCTACCTCAATACAATATTAGTTACGTTAAATGTTATTATACATAATGAAATTTAAAATAAAACTTGTCAGACAGGATAAAAAATAAAACTTTATCCTGCTAAAAGAGACATATTCTAAATAAGAGGAATAAAATGTTTGAAGGTAGTGACAAAAAATTATATCACAGAATGTGAGAGGGAGAAAACAGTTGCGTAAATATTCTAATTTAAAAAATAGAATTTAAGAATATAATTATAAAGGTTGTGTCTAATAATGATCATGCTTTTTAATAAACCAGGAGATATGCTTATTCCAAAGTTATATGTAATTAAACATGTCATCAAAATATATACAGCAATAATTGCCCAAATAAAAGACAAATAGACACAAATCAAAACCACAGGGGATGATTTTAACAAATTTTTCCTAGGAATAGATTGAAAAAGCAGTCAAAATGTAAGAATATAGATTTGAACAGTGTTGTAAATAAAGATAACCTAATTGACATATTTAAAACATGGGTTGGCTGGGCTTACAGGCGGCTCACACCTATAGTCCCGGCACTTTGGGAGGCTGCTGCAGGTGAATTCCTTGAGTTCAGGAGTTCGAGACCAGCCTGGCCAACATGGTGAAACCCTCTCTCTACTAAAAATACAAAAATTACCTGGGTGTGGTGGCACGCGCCTGTAATCCAAGCTACTCAGGAGGCTGAGGCAAGAGAATCGCTTGAACCCAGGATGTGGAGGTTGCAGTGAGCTGAGATCACTCCACTGCCTGGGAGACACAGCAAGACTCTGTCTCAAGAAAACAAACAAATAAAACAACAACAACAACAAAAACATGTGTCACAAGAAATTCATAGTATGAGTAAGTGTACATGTAACATTTGCCAAAATTGACCATATGAGGGGCCAGTAATGCCCGACAACAGAAAGGATATTAGCTGTGTTATCTAGCCATAGTATAACTAAGCTAGTTATCAATAACAAAAAGCTGTTTAAAAAATCTCCTATTTTTAGAAATTATGTAATATTCATTGGTCAACAAAGTAACAAAGAGAAAAAGAGAAGTTATGATCTGAATTATAATGAAAACACTTCATATCATTCTTGTGTAATTGCAGCTATAATTATACAAATACAGACATTTTAAATGAATGTATTAGAAAAGGACAAAGCTGAAAATCAATAATCTTATTTATTTCTAGAGTTTAGAATGTAAACTATAATTTAAGTCAAATAAAGCAGACAGATGAAAAATAAGTAATAAATTTAGGGTGGACTTTAGTAAAATAGAAATCATTTTTCAATAGATTGGATTTGAAAAACTCTTTGAACAGGCTAATAAATTTAATAAGCAGGTGCCAAGGCAAATCTAGATATAGCAAAGGCACCAAGACCAAGCATCAGTAATGAAAAAGCAGTCAACATCAGAGGTTCTATAAACATTCCAAAAGATATTCAGAAAATTCAACGTTATGACATTAAATCAGAAAATTTAAGAATTAGTTCTTACCTTAGAAAAGCACATTTTACCAAAGCTAGGGTTTTTGTAAAACTTAAAATTAACTCTTACTTCTTTTAACTCTAGGACAGAAATTGCAAAAAAAAAAAAAAAAAAAAAAAAAAAAAAAAAAAAAAAAAAGCCCCAGATCTTAATTGTTTTTGTAGCAGAATCTCAAGAAAAGTTGAATGCAAAGCCTCACCACATCTTCTATGTAGAGTTTGGGATACAGATTTACTGATTTGGGAAGAATGGGAAAGAACTTGGATGGGGCGATCTGGATGGATTCAGATAATTCTGAGAATTTTGAATCCCTCAGTTACTTTGAGCCTCTCTTGCCAACAGAAGCAGCTCTTTTTCTTCTGTCAGGTGAGGTTTTCTTTCTTTTCTTTTTTTCTTATTTTAGAAATAAAGACCTAATATGGCCCTCATCATAAGCAGTTGCTTGCAAGAGAAAGCTCTTCTCCTCAAGGCTCATGTGCACTGTCTGTCTTCGATTTCAGACATGTAACCAAAATCAGAGGCCAGCATCCCCAGGAAGACAAGTGCAAAATAATTGCAAAATGTTGATTATTGATGTGGGATATCTAAGAAAATATGTGGAATGGCGGGGCGCAGTGCTTCATGCCCGTAATTCCAACACTTCGGGAGGCCGAGGTGGGCGGATCACCTGATGTCAGGAATTCAAGACTAGCCTGGCCAGTATGATGAAACCCCATCTCTACTAAAATACAAAAATTATCTGGGCGTGGTGGCGGGCACCTGTAATCCCAGCTACTCGGGAGGCTGAGGCATGGGTATCGCTTGAACGGGGAAGGCGGAGGTTGCAGCGAGCCGAGATCGTGCCATTGCCCTCCAGCCTGGGGGATAGAGCGGGACTCTGCTTCAAAAAAACAACAAACAACAAACAAACAAGCCAAAAATATGTGGAATGAGTTCTAAACATGTTAGTCTAAAAGCTGGATTCCATCAAATTTGTAGGTTAAGGGCGCACTTACTTGAAATTCTAAGTCTTGTATGCCTTGGATGAAGGAATGGAAACACAGTCATAAAAAAAGAAATTCGTAAATATCAGCTATAGGCTAATTCACAGTACTAGGAATAAAACCAAGAAAGCATATTCTTATGCATATATTCGTTAAAATTAATAAATCCTTCCTTTTTTTTCTACTTATTCTACTATTTTGTATGAAGAATGTTGAAAGTATTTAATTTTGTAATCAGTTTGTTGATTTTAGCATGGCCCAGTAAGATGTTGGCTGAAGAATTAACATCCTCAGTAGTGGATATAGTGAGTTCCTCCAGCCCCTGTTCTTTTTTTGCACGATTTTGAGAGCATCTTTGTATTATTTACAGTTACATCATATTAAAAGGAAACATAAACTCATGTTGTACAAGTTAAATATAGCTATAAGTATAAAAATAGCAAAGAGTGAGTAACAGAACTGTAGCATCATGCTAGCCAAGAGTGAGATACACAATGAATGTGCGTGTACATACTTGTTTGCTCTTAGATCTGTTCTCCTCCTTTCCAATTGAAGGGACCAATCCTTCATGTATGTTGCCTGCCAACTCCGGTTACACTGGGTAGTTTGGCCAGTGGAAGGTACAGATTAAGAGATTGGTTGGAACTGGGGAGCTAGGGTGTTCCTATCTCACTGTATGTGAAGTAGCATACAGACACATTAATTTGGACAAACTGATAACTGTGCAATTTTGCCTTAACTATTCTTATGAATGGTCTTATGTCACCATTTAGACATTTTATAGCTCTCAGAAAAAAATACCTGGAAGTTTTTCATGTAAATAATTCCTATGTTTCCTTTTTATTCCAAAGGCTTTTTTGAAAAATTTCCTTTGAGAGGCCCAGTAGTGCAATCATAACTCATTGTAGCCTGGAACTCCTGGGTCCAAGTGATCCTCCCACCTTAGCCTCCTGAGTAGCTGGGACTAAAGGCGCATACGAGAACGCCCACTTCCAAAGATTTTTATGCTTAGTCACAGGAGTGCATGGAATTTTCCTCCATTACATCATACTCTATTCATTTTAGGGAATCTATTGACTTCATTTATTTTGTTGTAGTTATTCTTATTAGACTCTAATTCAATTTAATTTTATAATTAAACATTATAATTTAATTTTATATTTTGCTGATTATTATTCTAAGTATTTCAAATGAAGAGAGAAAATGTTTATAAATAATAAAAAAATTTTCTCTCCTTTACAATGGTTATTTTCCTCATTAGTTTATATGAAATATTGCAATTGTAACACTTGATAATATACATGCATCTTTTGTTCCTGAACTTAATGATTCTCCCTCTCTCCCCAGACTCCTCCTTCTTTCTCTTTCTACTTTACCTATTTACAATGTGTTAGTTTAAAATAGCTTTCTTTCTTCACGTCAAAAAAGCATCCTTCTAATGCTGGTGTAGGTAATATTTCCATATTTCATTTTTAATTTTAAAAATTTGGATTAGATTGCCATGACTTTGAAATATCTATGGATATAGCTTTTTTTGACTTATGTAATGAATTATTTTAATAGTATTATAAGATTAATCTTCCTATTTCCTAAATAAATTATACTTCCGATTGAAGTATTAATGCTTTCACATACCATACTTTATCACTAATATTTATTTAGAATGTGTTTTATTAATATATTTGGTTTTCTGTTTTCTTCTCTTTTCATATGCTTTTTTTTCCGGTCAAGCTTTGGCATTGTGGTTACATAGCAGCATCAAAAACGACATTGTTAAAATATTTATATTTTGTGTTGGAGCAATTTAGATAGGATGGGGACTTTATTTAGGGTATGAAATTATTACTTGGGAACAATGACAGGATGAGAAGTACAACAGCATTTTGGAGAAAAGAGATTCTATTACAAATTAGTGGGGGGAATAGATTCAAAAGGTAGGTGAGGCCAACTACAGATTTAAATAGAAGGCTCAAGTTGAGGTGAATTTTGCCTAATTAGGTATTGGGAATGAGGACAGACTGGCATGGAGAGATTCAAGAGATACCTAAGAGAATTTTCAGTAAGATTCGAGGATAGTCACACATGGAGGATAGAGAAGCCAACGCTCCAATAATTCACCTAAAAATTGTTCCTCCTAGAAATACACAAGAGTTAATATCTATTTCCAAAATGTGTTTGAGAAAAAAATGTATCAAAAAGTAGAAAATTTAAATAAAATTGATGACATATTTGTTGAGTACTCACCACCTGCCAGATATCATGCTATTAAATGCATGTGCATTATCTTATTGATCTTACAAGAACAGTCTATTATTATAAGAACACTTCAATGATTATATATATTGTGCAAACTGAGCTTTGTGAATTTTAGCAATTTGCCCAAGGGCTCAAGGCCTATTAAAGTGACCTGCATTTTATGTCCAAAAAACGTTTACACACAAAAAAATTTCAAAAATATTTATTAAAAGGCAACAATAAGTATATGAATACTACACAATCTTCTTGAGGGTTCTTGATTTTATCTATAATAAAACTGAATTACAAGGACCCATCCAAGGCACTTGTATTATCCTCTAATATTATTAATTTCAATATTTTTGTTTGTCATAAAAAGGAATATAGTTTACTTTTGGAAATATAGAATCTGTGGGACAAATTTACCTTCATCTGGAAACCATGCAATAACACATCTGCCTGAAATTGTTGTACAATATGTAATTCTAAACTAGAATTCAATTAAGACAATGTTCTCATAGAATAAGAAAAAACTGTTAGTGACACACACACGCACATAAGTATACATGTGACTTTACCTACATACTTATATGCATGCAGTCCATATTGTTAAACAAATACTAATTCATTAGCAAATTAAAAGTTCATATTTCAATTAAACGTGTGCTTATTATAAATAATGGGTATTTACTGAATGCCTTAGTTTTATAATCTATAAGAAATTTGCCTTATATAAAAGACAATAGCAAGCACATAGCTCTCATGTGACATCGTCTTGATGATTTAAGACAACATATAACACATTTAAATTATAGCTAAATTATTTTACTAGGATTATATGTCATGCTTAGGGATTTTAGTCTTTGTTTAATCTTACTATTTCTTTTTTTAATAGCAGAGCTTGAAAAATGGGGGCTGGGAGATATAATTGACTGAAAAAGACATTTTTGGTAAGTTTTGCTTAGCTGCTTTGTTAAAGAACAGTAAAAGTCCTGTTTATGTTGCAAATCTGAACCAGAGCACTCCATCAGGCTGGAACTTCCTGACACAGTAAGCATCAGGTAGTTTTCTGCCATATTTTCAGCACATCAGTACTCCATATGCTGTAAGAATGTCACTGAAGTCTGGCAGCAATTTTGAAACGCTCTTGACATGTTGTTTGGTGTCATTCTTTAGTAGGAATTGCCTGGGGTTGTGGCTGAAAGAAGGGAGAAATTGTGGCAACTAAGAAACACAAAAGCCTAACAAAAGTGACTGAGATATCTAAAAGGTTTCTAGAAAGTAACAGATGCAGATGCTTTATTGAGGGTAGGGAAGGGAATGGTGAGAAAGGGAGAGAGAGAGAGAGAACAAGAGAGCCCATAGAATACACTGATCCTAGAAAGAATTGTTGATTATATGCTCTTTCAGTCCAACTGAAAAGCAAAATGTCACATTTCAGGTTCACATATTAAAATATGAGGTTCTATCTCGTGGAAATGGTTTAAAAATTAAGTTGGGAAACAGTGAATAAGAATAATACAGAAAATGTATAGGTCGATATTGATTACCATAGGCGAGTGACTTCACAATGTTAATCTTCTCAGTCACCATTTCATGTTCTGTCCATCTCAAAAACATGTCTATTTGCAAGAACCTCCCTATTTTATCCCATTCAGCCATATTCAGAAGAACACATGCCATGTTCTTAGTTTGTATGAATAGTTCAGCTTTTGAAAACATTTCGTCATTATTAAGTCTGTCGAGTCACTAAGCCAAATCAGTTGCCATCTTGTCATCACTAAACACATAGGGAAATTTGCTCTTTTAATTCAAGATTGGACAACCACAGACAGTTATTGTTCAGGTGATGAGATGTTTGCTTGTGGATTATAGTTACTGGCACTGGAAGTAGGAAAGGAAACAAAGATAATTTGCTTTTCATAAAACTTCATAACACGGCACTGGTACTCCCCTGGAATGTTTTATGATGGTCATCAGCATTTGGGTAATATTAGTTGATTAATTACTTTACCAATATTTTAAAGTAGGCTGGTCTTACAAAAGTTAGCTCTTTGCATAGCACATTCTCTTAATTATATTCTGTCAATGTCTAGTTTTTTAGATTAAACATTCATAAATATTTATATAACTTATATCGGGCCATTGCACATGTATTTATTGGTGCTCATACTTGTTTATATTATTTTGTTTTGATCATAAGTGTAGAGAGTGGAGCTTCTAGTAGAAAGTCAAGGCAATTGACATTTCATAAAAATGATTATATATTACATGTTTGAAAAAATGTGAGAATGATTATATATAAATCGCTCTGTACTAGAATTAAAATTTGAGTGGTGTTACTAATGCTGGCATGAATAAAAACTAAAAACGCAATGGAACAAAATACATTTAAAAATATAACTAAAAGAATAAAATTATATTTAAATTTAGAAAATGCATAAAGGAAAAGGAAGTAAAGTATGACTAATCAGGAGAATTGATGCAGCTTTGAGAATTTTGGTAAATATTAGACAGAAATTATGTTTGTTATACAGTGAATTGCCTCAATATGCTGGATTTATACTCTTGGTATATATACTCGGTTTTTTTTAATTTTATTATTATTATACTTTAAGTTTTAGGGTACATGTGCACAACGTGCAGGTTTGTTACATATGTATACATGTGCCATGTTGGTGTGCTGCACCCATTAGCTCGTCATTTAGTATTAGGTATATCTCCTAATGCTATCCCTCCCATACTTGGTTTTTAAGGTAAAGGCATTTATAATTCATTTAATTTGTTTTATTGTTTGGGGGTAGAATTGACTTCAACATTTTAATTAATGACTCAACAATGAGTTCAAGAACATCAAGAGAAAAAATCAATTAGATATAAAAGAGCATCTAAAATATCTGGATTCAAGTAATGAAAAAGTTGCTTTAAGGTAGAGAATTAGCAAGTTAAAATTGACCAAAATAATGACTAAGAAAGGAAACGAAAAGAAGAAAAAAGTATTGTTTAACATGATGCTAGTGGTATTGAAAAAAAAGTCTTCCAGAAACTATTTAAGGAAATTATTTAAATCATCTAGAGAAACTCTTAAATGAATTATTTGAAAAAGTTGAAAATGTGAGAAATAGCTGGTTAATAGAGGATCCAGCTGAGTAATTAAAAAGGGCCAAGCTCTAGGAACTGTTGAAGTGTGAAATTGATTTGGGATGATGTAGATATCTGAATTTCATTACATATAAGAATATCCGTTCATGTAGAATCTACTACAGATTTTATTTTAAATAATATATTCATTGTTTCAGGAGGTATAATCTCAAACCCAGGGTCATTATCAGATTCTCTGGATTTTGTGTTATGCATGTTTATATCTCAAGCATCTTCAACAATGGTTAGCACATCAGGCCTTTGCTACATGTTTGTGGAATAAAAGAATAAATGAATGAATGAATCAATTAATTAATTTATCAGCATAGACATGGATGACTATTTTGGGGTTCCATTTTGGTAAAAAAAAAGCATTTAAAACTTACTATGTATAAGGCACTGTGTCTTGTGCTACAGAGGATAAAAAGACAAGCTTTCTGCCACCAAAAGATATAAAATTTAGTTAAGTAGATGACATGGATAGAAGTATGTATAAAATAAGGCAAAGTATAGTTAACATAGTAGTTGAATGTATTGTGATTGCAGTGACAGTTTGGGCTACTGTGGGGCAGATGGAATTATTTTTGTTATCTAGCTGGTAGGTAAGAATCACGTAAAATAAAAAGTGGAAACCACAGCAAAGTAAAGGCAAAAGCATGAATTTAATTTTCCATTTAAAAATTCTGAATTAGAGGGGAGAGTCTAGGTGAAGCAGATAAAATATTGATATATTGACTTGTGCACTGTTACTTGATTATTTATTATCAGAGTGTAGAGAGCTGGGCCGAAAACCCTTCAGGTAGGTCTATAGTTAAATGACACTGAGGCAATGGAAATGGCATTTGGAAAAGCCCAGAAGGAAAATTTAAAGTCCAGTTCCTCTTAGTCATATGTATGGTTCTTCCAAGTTTCTGCAAAGGCAGCTCCTATCACCACAACCACAGTCAACTTTATTCATTTTAATATATTTCACCTTTCCTTTAGGAATTAAGGCGAATTTCCCCAAAGTGTTTATCTAAAAAATATTTATCCTATTCTGAGGCCAATAAGTATGGGAAGTTCTATACTAAAGGTATAGATTACTGAAACTTTTCCTTAGTCTCCCCATCTGAGATTTTTATGTTGAAAGCATTTCAGTGTTAAGCTATAAAACACAGTTTCTCAAAAAATAATGATAAAACATATTATAATAATTATGAATCATGCTTATGATGAGTATTTGTAAAATATTTTTATTCTTTATTTGTCTGAGGATAAACACATTTGTAAAACCTTGATGATAGTAGAGTAAAAATATTCTGTATTCAATTTTTGACTTCAGAAATCTAGTATAATATTTGATGGTATATAATGTCAAGACAGAATTACATTATTTTATTCACTTGAAAATAATACCTACTTTTAAAATGAAAAAGTTTAAAATAATGCCACATGTGGCCAGTATGTCTATAAACCTTCCCAAATGTGTTAAATTTGTGTTAATATTTTATATTTGACTAACATTGCAATATATTGTAATAATTGTAAATAAGGCTTTAGATTCACATTCTTTTAAGTCAAAAAAGTAAACTTTTAACATACTTTTTTCTTTTTATAGTAACAGGGAAAAATTGCTTGGTGATGGATTAATAATATAGGAGGAGTTTCTCTTCTATGCATTTTTATTCATGGAATGTTCCCCTATTTTACTTTGTAAAGGAAGGTTTCAACACCAAGTTTTGTTTAGGAGCTAAATCATTAAGATTACTAAGCACTTATCAACACCAGATATGTGTGTGCATGTGTGTATACATACACACATACATAGATATATATGTATGTATATAAAATAAAAAAGCAAGTGTATGCATGTCAACAAGTTGCCTCACAATCAAGATCAATAAACAAAACCATAAGGCTGTAGAAGAACCCTCCCCCTCCTCCAATTCATAGATGAATAGAATCAATGCTTGAGAAAATTTCCCTGGAGGGTACAGGGTGGAATTTGGAAACTGTAAAAGGAGCAATGAAAATGGGAAGAGCAGATGGAAGCTATTAAATGAGAATAACATTGCCTCTCACAAAGACTCAAATCAAATGTCATGAACTTCTATTATTGACAACACAGGCAGGCAGCACAGTTATCTTTGGGCTTTAAAAAATACATTATATGCAGTATTACACTATAAATAGTTATAAATTCTGCCTCAGCAAAGAGTCATGCACCTGGTAGGTACACAATAAAGATTTTTTGATGATGTTATTCTAATTTTAATAGGGTCACATGTCTAGAAATATTAAAGAAAAAATAAAGATTGCTGAAGGACTTAGTTTACAGTCCACATTGTAAAAATGAAGAAATCCTAAAAATATCTTAAATAGAAAAATGATTTATTTTAATCTCTAAATGATCTACTTGTAGAAAACAGTATTTGATGCTTTGATATAATGTTTTTAAATAGAATTACCAGTGATTCTTACTTCTTTATCAGACATAATCAGGCGCTCCTGACACATGCTTCCCACCTGGATTCCCTTCTTGACCTCTCCATCCTGGATGGAGCACTTTAACGCCTTATGAAGGCATGAAACTATTGAGGGATTTGCAAATGAGTTTCTTCAAATAGGGCTCAGGAGTCTGCAGGTCATGTTGATGTACTGGCTTGATCTCCTTCTGCAATCATGTGGTCTCTTGATCTCCCATTAGCCCAGCTGTTGGTGCACGTGTGAGCACAGATGATGGTCAATCCCTCCTTGCCTCCCTCCCCCACCTGCTTGACTTCTTCCAGTGGGCACTTTTGGGCGAATTAGATATTTTCTACAAAATCTCATGTTTACCAATATCCTTTCATTCTCCTCTTCACCTCATTTTCTTCCATTGCTTGCTATACCATCATACCGGGCAATTTGGACATGACACAACAACTAAGAAATTACATTTCCTGATAAAGAAGGAGGAAGAGGAGGAGGAGATGAGAAGTAAGGTAGGGGAGGGGGGAAGAAAAAGCCATTCCATTACTTTATTGGCATCAAATAATAAATGAAAGACTCAAGAGACTGATTTTTCTTCTTCTTTTTTTTTTTTTTTTTTTTTGGTTTCTCCATGTTTTAATGATTTTGCAAAGAGCACCTCACAACCCACATGCTTCCCTGAAGGAAGTATCTCTAGGGTACCTGTTAATTCCAGAATAACCACAAGACTACTCTAGTGGAGAACCTGATTTTCATGATTTTTGTACCCCCTACACAAGAAGACTGGGCTGCATTTCATAGCCAACAGGTAGCCTTGGTGGAATTGTCCTGGATCTTGAAAGAATTGGTAATTTTTTGCTTCAGAAAATATTGAAATCACTGAATTCTACAGTTGAAATAATATTTCTTCTTAAAATTGTAGAAAGTACTTGTAAATGAATCATGTCTAAAGCTATGTGACTTACACTGCAGGTTTCTATCTCCTTATTCATGATGGTTGTTACCCGTAACTTCTGTTAGAGTTGACTGATTCCTAACTTCTCTCAGCCCAGTTCCTGATGGTACCTCGTATGGACCAGAGTCAGCCAAGCTCCTTGATCAGGGACAGCAGACAAGCTGCCCAATCAAAGAGATCTGAAATTGACTGACTAATGAAATTATTTATCCCCTGGTGGTGTAATCTTAAACCCTTTAGTCCACAGCTGGAGGTGATCAGTTAATTCTCTAAAAGGGTTCAATTTGCCATAGTTAATGAATTAAATTATTTAAAACCATACTTACTTGCAGAATACAGACTTCTCCAACATTTATTCTAGAGAACTTTTAGGAGCTCATTTTTGTTCTTATTTCAAGTTTATTTTTTTTATTGTGATTGTAATAACTCTTAATTTAATATAAATGTAGTAAATCACACATTTGAATGTTACTTGTTTGCATGGCTTCTAAATGCTTAACTCCTGTTTTAATAAGAGTGTAATAATATTAAGAATCAATTAGCAAGGAGAAATACAGAAAGTAATATTTATAAAGACATAAAAGAAATACTCTGTAAATTTTGGATTTGATCACTATTTAGCTAAATGCCTTTACTCATTCATGAATTTAGTCAATATGCATTGAGTACTACTGTGTGCCAGCAACTGACAATGTTCTGATGATGGTAATGGTGAAATAACAAGGGGGCAATTGCGAACTGTGTTGTGGTGGAGCATGTACCAGGTGACGCAGGAACACTAAGACATCAACTCTAGTCGTAGGGACGGGGTGTGGTTGGAGGGTGGGATTCACAAAGGAGAGTGTGACTGACGTGGGTCTGAATGAAGAAGCAGGAATCAGGCAGGAAAAAAGCGTCACGTATGAAGGGCCAGCCATTCCATTCCCTGCTGTTTAACTAGCTGTTACAGCTTGGACAATCTACTTCTCTGGATCTGTTTCCTCAATGTAAAATTAATATAATAATAAGTAATTGTCTTAGTCCATTTTTGATTGCTTATAACAGAATACCTGATTACAACTTAATAATATTATTACAATTAACTAATTAATATTATTTAAAATTTTAAATATTAATTATATTTTCTTGTAATTATGGTGGCTCACACCTATAATCCCAACATTTTGGGAAGCCGAGGTGAGTGGATTGCTTAAGCCCAGGAGTTTGAGATCAGCCTGGGCAACATGGTGAAACCCCATCTTTACTAAACATACAAAAATTAGCTGGGCGTTGTGGTGTGTGCCTGTAATCCCAGCTACTTGGGAGGCTGAGGCAGGAGAATCGCTGGAACCTGGGAGACGAAGGTTGCAGTGAGCCAAGATAGCACCTCTGCACTCCAGCTTGGGTGAAACAGCAAGACTTTGTCTCAAACAAAAGAAGAGAAGAAAAAAAAATTAATTTCTTACCATTATGGATGCCAGAAAGTCCAACGTCAAGTGGTTGCATCTAGTGAGAGCCTTCTTGCTGGTAGGGACTCTGCAGAGTTCCAAAGCAGCACAAGGCATCACAGGGCCACTGAGAGGGGCTGACCATGCTAGCTCAGGTCTCTCTTCTTCTTATAGAGCCGCAGGCCTTACTCCCATAGTAACCCATTAATTCCTTACCTCATTAATCTATGAATGGGTTAATTCATTTTTAAGGGCACAGCCCTTGTGACCCAATAATCTTGTAAAGGCTCCACCTCTCACTACTGTGACATGGGGTATTAAGTTTTAACATGAGTTTTGGAGGGGTCAAATACTGAAAACAAAGCAGTGTGTACCTCTTAAGATTGCTGTGACTCTAACATATATAAAGTGCTTGGAGGGGCATCTGGGACATAGGATGGGTTGTATAAGTGTTCCCTAATGTTTTCACTGTACCTAGCACCTAGATAGCAGTGGACAGTAGCAAGGAAAGGGAAGATGAAGGAGTCAGAAGGCCACAAGGAATGGATTATGTAAGAAAATAAAGCATGTGGTATTTTACAGAGCATGGACTTTTTTTGAGAGCCATGGGATTATTGAAGGGTTTCAAGGAGGGAATAATGATCAGTTTCACAATATATAGTTGAGCTTGTGATCAAGGTGTTGTCTGAACTACAGGAAGGGAGTAGAAGAGGGGAAAGCTGTAGAGGGGCCCTCAGCCAAAGGATGACACTCAAAACCAACACAGTGGTGGGAAGAAGATGGTGGGATAAATCCTAGAGAATTTGCTCTTAATTTGAAACATAACCTATGCATGTATTTCCGCATCTCAGATCCCATTGTGATAATATTTGTGTATTGCTTAATTTATTTGATGTTAACATTGAGCATCATGCACTCATTCACTATTTTTCTACATTGTAAATTGTTATTTTTTAAAAAGAAGCTTGCTTAGATTTTTCCTTTTATGATTTTATCTTTATTTTTACAAATTTATGGGGTACATGAAAAATTTTGTTACATGTATAGAATGCATCGTGAACAAATCAGGGTATTTAGGGTGTCTATCACCTAAGAACAATACATTTTTGTTAAGTATAGTCACCTTCCTCAGCTAGCAAACATTGAATTTATTCCTCCTGGTTTGGTGTATGTTTCTACACTTTAATCCACTTATCTTCATCCTCCTCTTCCCTCCACTCACTTCTCTGTTTCTATCTTTCCACTCTCTACCTGTGTGTGATCAAATGTTTTAGCTCCCACATATGAATGAGAACACGAGGTATCTAAGGTATATTTCTTTGTGCCTGGCTTATTTCACTTAACATAATGACCTCTGGTTCCATCCATGTTGCTGCAAATAACATGATTTCGTCCTTTTTCATGGCTAAACAGTATTCCATTGTGTATATGCATATATGCACCACATTTTCTTTATCCATTCATCACCTGATGAACACTTAGGCTGATTTCATATCTTTGCTATTGTGAATTTTGCTGCAATAAACACATGAGTACAGGTATCACTTGGATATATTGATTTCTTTTCCTCTGGGTAAATTCCCAGTAGTAGGTTACCTGGATCAACTGGTAATTCTATTTTTAGTTTTTTGAGAAATCTCCATATTGTTTTCCATAGTGGTTGTACTAATTTACATTCCCACCACTAGAGAGAGTTTTCTCCATATCTTCACCAACATGTTTTTGTGTGTGTGTGTTTTTAATAATAGCCACTCTGACTGGGGTAAGATGATATCTCTTGTGGTTTTGATTTACATTTTTCTGGTGATAAGTAATGTCGAGCACTTTTTCATATGCCTGTTGGGTGTTTGTATATCTTCTTTTGAGAAATGCCTATACATGACTTTTATTTTAATGGAATTATTTGTTAATTATTTATTCTCATATGTTTTAGTGGGAAGTATTTGATACATGCATAAGAATATAGATGTCATACATATACCTTATAAAGCATAATAATAAAGCAAACGCCTCTGAAACAAATACCCAACTTCAGAAATTGAATCCAGCAAAGATTCTTTTCTAGACCAAATTCTACTCAGGCTCTTCTGAACTTTCTTTCAAGTAGCTTTTGACTTTTGGACTTTTGTGTTCATTTCTGCACTGTCCAATTTTAGTAAGAATCCTAAGTCAGTTTTTAAGTCAGAATCTCCTATCCTCCATATCTGATCACCCTCGATATCTAATCAGGTTCCTCATCCTCCACCACCTCCCATGTGATGTCTGCACCCCGGCTTGTCTTCAGAGAAAATTCTATTTGTTTGGTTTTGCCAGAATTCCCTCTTACTCCTGATGTTTCCCCTTGGTAATATTCTATCCACTGATCCCCACCCTGTTACTTGGCTATACATTCCTACATGCCTGTGCTGTATTCAGAGCCTAATCCAATCTCTCTCCCATTGCAATGGTCCCTATACCTACTGAAATGGCCTCTTATTGAATAAATTCTGTCTTACTGTCTTTAACAAATGTCAGCAACTATATCTCTTTAATAGATCTTAGCATTACCATTTATATCTCTTGTAGCTCTCTCCTGTCAAATCCCAAACTCTTGTCTCTCCCTTAGATGTAAACATTATCCTGTATTTAAAAAAAAAAACTATTACTTTTATTTATGGATTTATCACGCTTGGACATACTCCTATGTAATGTATTATTTATTATTTCTTAACTTTATTTTTAAGACCTAATTATTACCTTTAGTAATAAAGTCTAAAATGTAACTTGGTGATTTTTCAACATGATGTAACTAAGATTCATATTTGTTGCATGTAGCTCCAGTTTACTCATTTTCACCACCATATTTCATTCCATTATATAATTGTAGAAATACATTTGAATTTACTTGAGTGAGTTAGTTACTTCTGTTCTGACAAACAGTGCTGCTATAAACATTTTCTTACATGTTGAGTGATGCATGTGTGCCAGAGTTTCTCCAGGAGTGAAATTGCTAGATCATAGGATACATGAAGGTCAAGTAAACTAGATAATGCCAAGTTGTTCACACACAAGTTATGCCAATTTTCAGTGCCATTCTCAATGCTAGCAGCTTTGGGAGTCCCTGGTTTTTCTATATCCTTGCCAATATTTGTTATTGTTAGACTTTTACCTTTCTTTTCTTGAAAATCTAGAGGTTGCAAGTGGGATATTATTATGATTTAATTTACTTAATTATTGTGGAGATCAAATGACTTTACATATATTTATTGATTCTTCATGCTTCTTCCTCCAGTCCATATCTATTATATTGTTTGCCCTTTTCTCTATTAATTTTTTAATTAATAGAGTTCATAGAATCTGAATATTAGTTGGTTATGTATGTGGCTAATATCCACTGTCAGTTTGTACTTTTTCTTTTTACTTTTTTATGGTAGTCTTTTGATGAATAGAGGTTCTTAATTTTAAGGTAATTTGTTGTCAGACTTTTCCTTTAATTTAGTGCATCTTGTGCTTTATATATAAACTCCTTCATCCTGAGGACCTAAAAACATTCTATACTTTCTTCTAAAGGTTGTAATGTTTTCCCCTTTACATTTAGGTTTTAAGCATATTTAACTGATTTTTATGAGGTAAGGATCTTCCTTTTTTATTTTGTTCTCTTAATATGTGCTATATGCTTTAACTCATGCCAGGAATACAAAAATAAAATGCAATAAAACAATATAAAATAATACAAAGAACAGTATGCCTAATTTCAAGAGTGTTAGACTAGTAAGAAAAAATAACAGTAGTCATACCTTGAGTTTGTATGGTACTTTACAAATTAAACAGCCCTTCATATAACCCAAGATCCACTGGCTAAACTTTCTAAAAGCAAATCACAGAATGTCTTTCCCTTGTTTAAAACCTTTCATGTTTTCTTATGCTGTCCAAAATAGGATATAAACTCCTTGACTTAGTCAACTTGGTACTAGATAATTTTGCCCCCTTTTACCTCTCTAGATACTGCTGTACCCACTAGACATTCTTGTCTACCTATTTCCAGTTGTTGGGCTCAGAAAATGTACCCCAAATTGTGGCACTTTGGTGTGCTAAGTACTTTGAACTACAGGCGATAGAGAGGCCTCAGAACCAGCCTCCTGCTCATCTTCCTTCCCCGAAGCATTCGTAGAAACCAGAATTCCTCTTTCGTAAGTTGGGTCATAGAAACTGGAACATTAAACAAGCCATAAAACCTAAACGGTCACTCTCTTTCTTCTCCTGTTTCCTTTGAAGATCCGCATTTCAGAGGGGTCCTGCCTCATACCTGGAAGGAAGAAATGCTACACAGAAGCCAAGAAGAGTCTGAGCAGATAGGCCTTGCTGGGTTTCTCTCCTCACTGGATTACTGTTAGATCATACCCTTTGTCCCTACATAGCTGCCCATTCTTCATTGAACCTAAGCATAAAAACAGTTTTTCCTAATTATTGGGGTCTTCACTTTTAAGCGTTCTGTGTCATGTAAAACTTTGATGAAATAAATTTGCTATGCCTTTCTTTGTTAACTTTTTTGTTGTTGTTGTTATAGTACTATCAACCATGACTCTTATGATGGATTAGGAAGGTATTATACCTTTTCCACACTTACACAGACATATGAATTACATGTTGTTCAAATGCCCCATGCCATCTTTTAATCCTATTCCTTTCTTCTGCTATGAGAGTTGTAATTTAGTTAAGGGGCGGCTGCAATTCTAGACAAGAAATGATGACTTCCTAATTCAGTGGATGTGGAAATATATAATGAGAACATCATTTGAGAATTATGAAGAAAACAGACTTTGTAAGTATTTGAGGGCTAAGTAGACATGCACGAATGAGTGATAAAGGGTACAGATGACCATTGATCTCTTCATTGTCATATAGCAAACTTCCTTATATACTGGAAGATATCTGTCGAATGAATGAACAAATGAATGAATGAATGAAAAAGTAGGCGTAAAAACAGTCCTTTTATTTTGGCAACTCGGTTATTTGGCTATTTATTTTAAGTCTGATTATCTGTATAGGTTTTTGCTTTGTTTTGTTTTTTGCTGTATCCTTAGGTAAATCTATACGTAGCCACCTAAAATAATGCTGTTTTTAACTATTATAACAAGGTAATACCTCTGTTAGAACAGAATTTTTAGTAAGCTCATGAACCATGACTTTGTACTTCTATGGACACAACTAACCATCTTTAAAGAAAAATCTTGATTGAAGGCTTTAGCATTGGAAAGATTTATTGGATTTTAACGTGCACCTAAAATATATTTAAAAGTACCTTTTACTTAGTCACAGAAAACTAATGGCTTTAATGAAAGAAGAATATCAAGGTATACATATAATTTTAGTTCATGATTTCACTAATGATCCTAATTATTGAAGCTCTCAGCCAGCACTCATGCTTTTACTAATTTTTTAGCTGGATCGGGTACATGTAAATTTCAACTAATAAAATGCATTCTTATATTTATTTAAAATTATATATACGTATTATTTTTTCCTTCATGCAATTTTCCTGTGTGAGGGAGGGGTGCTACTCCTTTTTAAATTATTATTTTCACAGAAATTAAAATCCCACCAAATCTGCAGTGATACATGCACCCTGTAATCAATGGCACTCCATGTCCTTTCAGGCTCATTTCTGCACTCGGGAGCCGACTGAGCTCAAAGGACAGCCCATTCTTGAGGCTGCAGACCTTTCTCTGATCAATACCGGCTTCAGGATCTGTGAGGTCAAGTCTGTGCCCTTTCTTGCTACAGAGCTACTTCTAGGCAAGGTCGCTTCTTTGTGCTCCTGGCCTCTTGCTCACTTCCTTTCTGTTGGAATCATTGGGTCTCTGCTTTCAAGCTCCCTGCACTCCGGACTCACAGCCGCTTTCCAGAGAAGGCCCCAGCCTGGCTCACCTCCTCAACCAGCACCACAGCCGCTTCTCATATCCTCACCAAGAGTTGATCTGGGCAAGACCTCTACAGAAACAAATCGGTCGTTGCTTTTCCACCTCCTAATCCTTTATGTATAGCCTATTTCTCTAGTTTTCTAACAAGTCCCCTGAGTAAAAATGATGAATAGTAGAAAATGCATGGACATTGGGGATGGACAAAGTTCTTTTTTCTTTTTACCTGTGTGACCTCTTAGTTTCAATATTTTCAGAATATTGTGTGAAAATTAAATATCAAATATAGACATAACATCTTGATACAAAATGAGTGGTACATAAGTGCTAGATGCTACTGCTGCCTGGGGTCAACCTCACTCTATGGAAATACCTAAACCTTTTGCACACGGCATTTTTTGCCTTTTCTAGGTTTTAAACTAACTAACTAAATAAATAATGCACTAATTAATTTTACCCTTCTCTCTCCTTTGATTCTCCCTCCTCTGGAATGTACTTAGCATTAAGTTCATAACATAAGCTCATCTGGAAGAAATAAAAGTTAAGGCTCTGTAAATTAGTTAATACAAATCTTTACTACTTCTGACTAATTATATCTGTCTAAATCTCCAAAGTTTTCTGGACTTTCTGTCGGCTCTGTCACCTTATGCATCAGATGTTATCAAAGATTTTGAAGACCAGAGCATGAAATAGGCCTCAATTCTGTGGAGATGCCCCTCAGTTTCTCAGGCAAGAGTTAGTGCTGGGTGCTTGCTTTTCCATTACTACATCGGGGACACTCAATAAAGTGTCCTCTTCAGTAGAAAGTGCATTTTTTTGGGTGGGGATATAAGTTTTTTTTTTTTTTGAACCACTAATCCTGCAATCGTGATGGAATGATTCCTTTCTAGGCTTGCCATCTCCAAGTTAGATGGTTATTATTACTCTGAATCAGAGAAGGTGGACACAAGTAAGAAAGCACATGGCATTTGGATAAATGGTTGCTGTTACCTTTAAATACAGTTTGGGACTTCTCCCCAGAGTGTCTGCTGTAACTAATAGGAAATCCAGGTAGAGACACCTGGCACAGCCCTCATCAATTTATCCACCCCGCTATCCATTCTTTCAACAAGGGCTTGTAGGTAGCTACTCTTGCTGGACACTGGGCTTGGCTCATAATATGCCTTCAAAAATATTGATAAAGTAAAGAAAAAATGAAGAAAACAAAGAAGAAAATGAGGAGTTGAAGAGGTCCTGTCTCAGTGTGGTGTTTTGCTCCTGCTCACCATGGCCTGTCTTCCTTACAGCTCTGTCCCAGACTCACAGTCTTCTCTGTGTGCCAGCACTATTTTTCTTTCTCTCCACTTCCTGAGGCATAAGCAATTGCCCTGGATATTTTTTTACAAAGCTATCCACACTTTAAAACAACGAAAAAAATGTAAGCACAAGGACTGAAGCACAGGTTGGTACTGGAATTTGCAAATGGATTAGAGGAAGAATTCTCTTTAGCAATAGTGACTTTATGGGGCCTCCCATCAGAATATGTGGAATGTCATCAGTTTCTGACTATGGGATACTTAATAGGAATTTTCCTGCAGGTCTTCATTCATTTTGTGCTGGGTATGGAACTGAGAGTCCCTCTCCAACTAGAAGACTGGAATGTTGTAGTGTAGCCCACAATCTTGTCAAAGGTAGGTCATGAGTGTCTGAAGATTTCTTAGGCTTACCAACTGTGAGGATGAGTTCCACTAGCTTCTGAAAGATCTAATGCCCTTCTGGGCCTTTTTAAGGAAATAAACCATAAAAGTTATACCAATTTTCTCTACGTGTACCCACTCCCCCATTTTCATTATGTCTCCTATTAGCAATCTTATAGAATTGAGTACATTCAGAATGTAAGGTATGGCTGAATAGATTGGCATTTCCTGCTTGATTTTGCTTGACTTATTAATACTAGGAAAAATGGGGCATTCTAGAAAGTGAGACCTGGAAGATGAGTTTTGTCAAGTGGACATTTATCCATGTCTGAAATATTGACTGAGTTTCTTTGACGCATGCCAGGCACTGTTCTAACACCCTTGATATTGGATCTTTTCAATGGCATTTATGAGAAATGTAGAATTATTAGACTGATTTTTCAAATGGGTTGATAAAGTTTAAGAAAATTTTTAGACTTGTCTGAGTTTATGTCACCTGTTAGGGGCAGAACTGGAATTTCACTATGGACAGCACAATTTCAATACTGAGATCACTGTCGATCAGCTATAGCCCTTCCAAGTAAGCAGACAGGATCCTGTCCATATGTAGTTTATAGTGTCTAGCTGGAAAGATGGATATGTAAACAACTATTGACCTGTGACATGAAGGATGGTGGGAGCTTTGAGAGCACATAGCCAGGGCAGTCAGGAAGGGGCACTTAGGGTGAAACCTGGAAAATGATAGGAGGTCAGTAGCAGGGAAAACACCAATCTAAAGATAGCTTTAAAATGATGGGAGCAAAAAGAGTGAATGTGCATTATTCTCCAGGCATTTTCTTCATCTAAAGGTACTGCTTTTTTAAATTTCTTGATAGATTTGAAAATGTCAACAGCAACGGGTATAAATTAAGAAGAAAACCTTTCTTTGAAATAAAAATACAACAGTTTTTCTTCTTTCTTCCTGAAGTAACTTCTGCTTATTTCCTAATTTCTTTCTTTTTCTAAGACTGGGACTCCTAAACTTTCTAAACTATTAATGATGGGTTTGGAATCATGATGCATTTCATCTTTTTTCCTCACTGCAGGCTGCAAGCAAAGGGTAATGTCTGTAGAAAGTTATAAAATCACAAAAATGAGGATTCAGCATCAAATTACCATCTTGCCCTTAAATATCATGCTGCTTCTGTTATTCTAAAGCAGGTGAATGTTGGATACAGATGCAGCTCGAAGCCATTATTCTAACACACACTGTTAGTACAGAGATTTCATTTGCAGAAAGTCACTGTGTCCCATCATGCTTGGAAACCTAGAACATGCTCTGCATTCACTCAGTGGCAGTTGTGTTTACATTTTAACGGCATGCAGTGCACTGAGAAGTTGGGTCCTGCGCACATCCTTACACATATGAATAAATAATGTTAAAGCTAATAAGATCTCTGAGAGAAAATGATGATTGTCTTTAATCACTAACCTTAAGCAGCAGCGAACCATATTATCAAACACCTTCATTTCTTATAAAACTATCTATCACACACAATATAGACCTGATGAAAAAGAAGGTGGAAGTAATCAGGACAGAATGCCAATTACCTCATTACTTGTCATAGCACATTGTAACTGGAAATTGCTTCTTTCAGGTTCTGTTTGCTCAGGCAATTACAATAAACTCTCTGCTTGACATGTTGTTTGCACAGATGTAGTGCATTAATAAACATGAGGGCTAATCTGAATTATTGAACCAGCCACAATAATTCCAACAAAGGATTTATAATAAGTCCAAGAAAGCTGAGGTATCACTGGAATTCCCTGTAAGCAACACTGACATACTTTATCACATGTAAAATCCTCAAATTTAATGTACAGTACTGGAATATGTCCCCTAGGTATTTTATGTTTTCTGTGGCTCTAAGTCCTAAGCAACTGCCATCATGAAGGAGAATCAAGACTGCTAAGGTAAGTGGCAATATCACAGACTTAGAGGAAATTACTTTATTTGCTGCATAGCTTGCACATGTTGAGCTCTTTTTACCCTATTTTTACAAATCTAATTTTATTTAAAAAAAAAAACCCTTCTGTGGTAGTTGTAAAACATTAAATGTTGCAAAGTATCATGGAAATGTACTGTTATCCGAAGAATGGAATGAAAGATGTGTGAAATTCCTTTCCTGCTCATATTCCTAGAAAGGGCATCGTACAAATATAGAAAGCCTTGCAGAGAACAGCCTCCCATCATGGTCAAATATGAATAATCTTTCAGAGCAAAGCTCACAAAGTTTTCTTTACCTAAATTGAGTCCGTCTAACTGAGTTCACTTTTCCTATAAACGTTTCTTATTTAAAGAAATAATTTTAATGTCAAAAATATATCCACTTGGAAAAATTGTGTGCCTCATCAATTTCTACCATACAGCCATACAGAGGCTGGATTTTAAAATAACTTTGCTTTTTGCCATGTGAGTAATGAATAGAATTAGAAATAGAAATGTCTTCAGAAGAGAATTGGATGCATTTAGCATAATGATTTCATGGGGAGGGGGGTTATTAATGCTATTGACTGTGATTGGGAGTGTGTTCCTAGCCTTTGGAGTTCTGGGCAGGGTACATTTGGCAAAGTCTCTCAAGACAGACTCTGGTGTTGTAAAAGGGACAAGATCCTGTCAGTGAATAACCATAGCAATTTTTACATTCTTGGGCAAAGCCATACTCACAGAATAGAGTACCATAAGGTTTCATCATTTCTCCCCACGTTGAAGCAACTTACTTCTCTCTCAGTTTCCTCTTATGTTCACTCTCCTTTTGATACCATGTAATTAATTGCACTCTAATATGGGTGCAGTGGTTTGATTATAAATCTAAATTACAGTAGCAGCAAGAAGCCACTCAATTGTAATATATCTATATAAAAAAGGAGACAAGTTACCACCGTAGAACCCCTTTCAAATGAAGAACACATATTGTTCCAACTCTAAGCATTGCTCAGATGTGCAGTCACTAGGCAATAACACTGAAATTGTCAATTAATCTCAGAAAAATTTTGAGGACTAGTTCTTGTATGTTTTCCTTGAATTTTGAGTTCTCAAAGCATAGAAATTAAGAAGTAAAACAGGCTTTTTTTGGTCTTAAAATGGACTCTCTAGGTTTTGAGCAACAGTTAAATGTAAAATGAAAGTTTGCATGTAAGATTTCTCCTAATTCAAACTCACAGATTCATATAAAAATTTAGATATTGTCACTGTCCTTTACTGACTCTATTCCACCTCAGCTCTGGTCTCGCTGCCCCAACACCCTCTCTCTCAGCATCTGGAGTCACCCCTCTCCACCCCCAACTTCATGAAATGCTGCTTTACTAGGACAGAAACTGCACTTTCTATGGCTTAAAAGAAAATGTGAATCAAGATATCTCAAACACTAATGGGATATATTAAAGCAATTTAATTATTTTAATCTCTTTCATATATCATGAAATTATGTAGAACAATTTCATTTAAGTGTTACCATCACTGTTGAGACTTCAATTGTGAATTGTTACACCAGCAAATATTGAAGAACATGAGTGCTAGTGAAGTTCTATTGCACTGTATGCAAGTGAGGACCAGAATGACACCAGGAGGAAAATTTCCATCATAATCAACTTATTCATTCCGTAATAACCTCCTTAGGAATCATACTTCAAGATTATAATGTTCCGTGATTAGTTTCAGTCCAAAGTTAATGTTGTTCTTTGAGTTCGTGTTTGCTTTACTCAAGTTATAACACTCTCACATAGAGCAAGAATAATTTTAATTATAAAATAATTATAAAAATAAATTGAATAAAATAAATGAACAATAGGTTAAAGGAAGCTGAATTAGACCATTTAAATACCGCATAGAGTAGGCCTTCTTTGAAAGACAAAATACATATGAAAGTTAAAAGTAAGGAAAGTCAGGTTCCATGAAACAAAAATTACTTTTCAGTTAATTTTAACCACATAATTCCCTGTTTCATAATAAATTTTCTCTGTATTACATATAACTTGTTAAAAGGCAAGGGTGCATAGTTATCTACAACTATGTATATGTTGGGGATAGATGGTTTCCCCTATTATTTTTCAATGTTTTACACAAGTGAATATTCTAAAGCAAAAATATAAATTATATGTTTTTTCCAATGTCATCATATCAATAATTCAAATTAAATAATAGACAAATCAAAACTTAGAAAAGTCTGAATCTTCACCATTAGCTAATGCAATTTAAGCATATGTATAATTGGAGTATGTTAATAAGATTATAAATAACATTTTTAAACAAAATGTACAGTTTTGAAGATGAGAGTCTTTCAAACTTTGAAAGGTTCTTGTCTTTATATCAGATATGAACCTAGATATTTAATGCATAGCTAGATTAATATTACATTCATGTCAATATTATATATATTTCTGACATATAAAAATCGTATTAGTGTAAACTGACAGCAATAAAATCATAGTCATATAATTCATAAAAGTAGGGTAGTGAATGAAATCCATGAGAAATTTCATACTAGTTACAAAGTAAAAAGAAGATGTACTCTTATTCATTCTAGGTTAATTTAATTCCAATCACAATTATTGAATACAAGTGGATCCATTCATTTCCTAGCAAATAAATTAAATAGTAATCTGCTCTGGATCATTTGCTGTGTGTTCAGTCATTATTAAAAGCTTAGGAAACTTGTGTGAGAAACTTTAAGAGATAACAGTGTCAGCAAATTCATATAATCATATACATGTAGGCATATCATCTGCAATGGTTTCATATAAATAAATAAGTATACCCGCATACAAATATACTCCACAAAATATGTATACCCACATACAAATATATATGTACCTATAAGATGTCAATTTAACTAAGTAGTATTCACTTTTTTAAAGTTTCATTGTAATTTAGATTATTTCAAAAAATAATTAGATTTTCTGGTAAAGGTTGATCATAGTTAGGAGAGTACTTTAGATATGAAAGGTTATTATTTTAGGTCACTTATTAAACAGTCAAAATCTGGAAATTTAGTGTAAAAGAGTAAAGTGATCATTTTTAACTGGTAAAATATTGTAACTGCAGACGGTGTGCAGGGAGCTGGGAGCAGGAATGCACCACACTTGAGGTCTTAAGAGCAATAGTTGAAGCTGCCTACAGCCCTAGTGCAGTACCACGGTCTTCACAATATTTTTATTTCCACCAATTTTTTAATTGCTTTTTCTCCCTAGAAACTAATGATTTATCTAACTGAGATGTAAAATTGACATATGTTAGCCATTTCCGTTTTCAACTCCTTCTTCCATTCCAGATTCGATTAACCCCCATATATAAACTTAACAGCACTCACACACGGGGCATTGAGTACACAGATATGGAAAGGGAAATATAAATTATGTTCCAAAAATTTAAAGAATGTATTAAGTTTTGAAGTAATTGATGTTTATGGAAATTACACATTTTAGAGGGTTACAAATCATTCCTAAGATTTTTTTCATAGTACCTTTTCAAAAGTTTCCTTACATTACTATCAGATATTGTTGGAAGCAATGAAAAATATAAAAGCTACAAATAGTAATTTATCACATATTTGTAGCTAAGATACTGTTTAAACTGCATTTTAATAATTATCAGCAAACAGAATCTTAGACTTCAAAGTAAATAATCATCAGAAAATCCTCTAAGTTTACAAGAATAGTCCTTGAATTTCTAATTCCACAGAGATAAATTATGAATCATTTTTGTAAACTTTCCCTCATAGTTGCTTATTCAAATTCAAAAATTAGAGAACTCCCCAATCTTTATAAAAATGACATATATCCACAGTAAGGTCACTAAAAATACATATTGGTTACACGTTAGTGAATATCTGTAGTCCTATCAGTTCTTCCCAAACAGTTATATTTTGAGTATTCTTTATTGTTATGGTCTGTATTTGAAAAGGTTTTGAAGTGCCATTCTGTGGCAAAGTTCTCTGAGTTTAAACATGACATCAGCAAGCCATCATGAAGCCCTTATACTTCACTATAAATCTACTTCTTTCCTAGGAGAGATTAGCAAGTGAAATTGGTAGATATAATTTTAACCACATAATTCCCTGTTCCATAATAAGTTTCTCTGTATTATATTTAACTTATTGAAAGGCGCTTTACTGAGCATATCAACATGATAACACTGAATGTTATGTTTGGATCCTTCATCCTCAAAAATGGATGACGTTGGTCACATGGGTGCCATACTTTTTTGGGATGCTCTACTCAGAACTCTTTTCCAGTTCTGTATCAATTTTCACAATCCATATACTCCCAGGAAAGCAGAGTAACTTGCTACAAAATCAGAATCTGGCAGCTTTTACATATCTTTAAGAAGTTTTTTTTTTTTTAAGGCGTTCCTTTCCTATTACAGAAATACTCCAAGCAGCCTTTGAAATGCATATAGACTCTTCCTATTTTTTGTTCATCCAAAGGGGTGGGTACTCCTAGAAAGGTGAAAGGTTTTTGAACATGAGAGTTTCTTCATCTAAGAACTCCATTTACTCCTATGTGAGAAGGTAGGAAACACAAAAAGAGCAGGAGCAATCAATGAGCTTTTGCATTTCCTGGAGATGGTAAAAGACTACTAAATCAGAATGTGGGTTGCTAGACCCCTGCTGAGATGAGAAAACTGAGGCTGAAAAACAGTAAGGAACCCTGTGAGGAACTGTCAAGACCATGGAGGGAGTAGCACGGAATTATTGACTGGGAGCTTTTAGGAAGTGTTTTAGAGAAAGTTGGTTGCCTTTACTCCAGCAAGAAAAACTCAATACTGGAGAACTTGGAACACTGAAACCAGAGAACTTGCTGTGGGAAGAGACAAGTAAAAAGATTCACCACTCCATTAGACCCTCTCCCAAGGACACCACTCTGGGAGGGGCAATTACTGGACTACTTAAATGTCAGCCTGAGTTGACTGAGCAAATTTTACCAACAAAAAATTCGAGATCTCTGATGTTTGGCCGGTTTTGGAGGCCATTTTAAACTAAAACTCTTTAAAATGTCCATTTATAAAGGTTATTTTAATCACAAGAAAGTGCAGCAGGGGAGAATGGGAAAATATTTTCATAAGTGGCTGCTTGTTTGATGTTCGACCATGCTTATTTTTTCTCTATCAAATTTCCTAAATCTCATTCTTAAAAAGAAGTTCACTAAAAATAATCCAAAAATTAACTTTTGAAGCTACGAAAAATCATGAACCATTTTCCCAGTTTTCCCATTTGAGAATACAATTCAACTCTGACAATTATGTCCGTGTATATCTATATTTAAGTGCAAAACCTATGGATTTTTATTGTTTTATAAGTGAGTTGGCATCACATTTTCTTTCTTTTTCTTCCCTTCTATACCTCAGCTATTAAAAACAGTAACAAGAGTAGTTTATTTGAATCAGGATGGGTATTAAACAAAACCTCTCTCAATCAAGAACACGTAAACTTTTGCAAGCAAAGAAACAGACACTCAAAATACTGCAAGGAAGTAAGCTTACCTTTTGCTTGTTCTGTTCATCTTAATATTTCAAGTGCTACAGTGGCAGTGTCCTGCAAAGCTTCCCCACTTGGCAGAACTGCATGAACTGATACAGATTCAGAGAAAGCAAATAGGAGCTTTACCAACGAAAATGTGGAAAATCCAAGAATTAAAGTGCCGTTATTTCGATTTGAGGAGAGTACAGTCTATTTCTTAGAATATGTGACTCAGTGCATATTTCTTTGTCATTGTTTTGAGGTTCACTTAACCATAAAGAGGGAAGAGAGCTCAGTGAAGCATGGCTGGCTTGACAATAGGCTTTCTGCAGGTTAGCCAAATTTAACCGGCAAAAGCTCGCCCAAACCCTTTTGTCTGCTACATTTGCACCATAATGTCAGTTCTTCTTCGCATATTTCACAGATCAAGTCTGACCATTTATCCCCAAAGATGGAAAAAGTCATTTCTGGGTCTGTCTATAAAAGTTACTTTATAAAGTATTGTGCAATTCTATTACAAAAGCTACAAAACGGGAAAGTGCACTTCACATGGCCACAATTAGGGCTTCTGTTTCCGCTCTCCTGCCCTTGTCAAAGCTCTGATTTAGTTTTCCTCGGTTTTGTCCAAGGGTCATTACAGATGTCTGCAGATGATTAGCATCTCCCCCCACGGCCCCTCTCCAACTGGGTGATTAGCAAATTAAAACTTTGCATTCTTTTCTGTCTACTGAGACTTATTGGGAAAGATTAGCAAATGTGGCTAATTGTGGAGACCTGAGGGGGCATCAAGGTGTTTGTCTCAGAATTTTGGAAGCTAAATATTAAGTTAGCAATTGGGAAGCCCATTATGTCACATGCTCCAGCATTTAATGAAGCATTCAACTCTGAAACTTAGAAACAATTGTATCCTTGATGGGGGGGGGGGGGCGGGGGCTCCAGGAACATTTTGCATCCATGCCATACCTAAATGATGCCAACCTGATCCATTAAAAACTGGATTTGGTGTATGCCATGAACAGTGTAGGGCACATTTGCAGCTCCATTTCAGAAACTGAAACCCCTGTTCTCCATAAGGACTCAGTGTAACTTTTAAAGCGTTTACAACCTGTGAATTCGGGTAAATGCCAACCATAAATGAGGTATTGAAATGATCCAGGAGAAATTGAGTCTTCAGTTTCAAGTGGCAATTGAAATATAAGAAAAACATTCCTGGCTCCATCTTTGTTTTAGGAGAGCAAATGTTTGATTAGGTTAGCAGACGAAGGAAGGAAAAGCTTTGGCAGGCTTACCCCAACCATATAGGAGATATACAATCTACAGAGGGATCCGGCAAACGAGGCCCAAATATCAGGCTTCCATTCAAAACAGACATTCTGCAAAATATATTTCTAAATGGTAACCACAGGAGGGCATAACCATTTTTTTTAAATGTGTTCCATCTCTTCTTCATTTTTCTTATCATTCTATGGTAGTGAATCAATCAAGTGGGCACAAATATCTCACAAGGATATTTGTTGGAAAATGAAAAGATAGAAAGACATATGAAGCCACACATCGAATCAGCTATGAAATTAAGACTCCATTGCAGGTTATCCTAATTTCAACCTTCCTTGTCCATACAGCTACTGAGTCTCAAATCATTGGCAGTCAGATACTTCAGGGACTGAAACCTTCTGTTTCGTGACGTTACCTACTGGAGTAGCAGGGCACCTTTACTATGTAGAGCAAATTTGGTTACCATTACCCTATGACTCACTTCATCCTTCCACCAGGGAAGCACTGTCCCACTTGTAAAACAAAGAAGCCTATTGATAATTTCTGAAAATCCAAGTTTGATATCTGAGAACATCTGTAGTTTTCAGTCGCTGAAAAAAAAAGTTTATAATGGCATATCTCAGGCCTATTGTGATTGGCTAGAACATATGATACAAAAATATCGACATAAATCGGTCGTCTCTGACATCTTATAAACAAGCAATTCCCAAATCAATATATTGACTTAAAGATAACTAATGCAGCCTGCTGAGGTGAGCTAAGCACAATTCTTCATTTCTAGGATATTCTGGGATCACAAAACACTGTGTAAATCAAATTTGTTAAATCATCCAGCAAGATGCGAGTTATAAACAAGGATAGTATCCTGATAAACAGGATTTTATTTGTATGTTGTTATTCCTTTTATTACAAAGTTCAAGTTCTACAGCATTTCACAGAGGAATTTCAGTTTAGTAATAAGGATACATCATTAGTGGTATAATGTGCAAATGTAAACAATAATTGCTAATTGAATGTATGTAAACATTGCTGTACTTTGCCAATGCTGACATTAGAAATAAATGCAACTTTCAATAGCCTTGCCACACTCATTTGGCAACAGCGAAAGGGCTTTCTTACAAATGACTCTTGTATTATTATACCCAATATTGTTAGCATGCATTCCCGTTTTCCATTTTATGTTCCTTGTTTCTTATCAAGAAAGTGAGTATTCTCACTAAATGAGAAGAAGTGCATGATAATCTCTTCTTGGCATGCAAATTATTATTTTATCAATTAATGGATATTTTTGAAACTCTCCCTCAAAAGGAGTGGACGGGGCCATTGCTGATTTCTCTTCACTGTTCCTTCCACATCTTGCCCGTCCTAACTATAATGAAGCTTTTCTGTTCTTCACCAGCCCACAAAGTTCTCTTTCTTTTCAGAATCCTTAGCACTTACTGGTTGAATCTCATTAGCTCTTCCCTCTATACTATTTCGCTTTATTTCCTATGTACCACATATTCTTGCTATAATTTCAGGCCATGTTTAGGCATTCCCTATGTTTTCTGCTCCAATACTAGGCACATGGGGCAACTCAAAATGTACTTGCTCAGTTAGGTCTTTTTTTATTTTTATTTTTTTTGAGGTCTGATCTAAAGCTTGCTGTCTACAGATGATGAGGTAGAGACGGAGAATATGAGACTCATAGCCAGAGTGCCATATAATTGACACATGTAATTTATGTTCCAAACATTTCATTTTGTAGAATTTTTTTTAAAAAAATGCTCTTAAATAAACTGGAAGACAGATAGAATGTATCCAGGGCTGTCTCAGGCAACCTGGACGTATAGTTACCCCAGATTATTTGAGCTCTTACTGTAAGCTGTTTTACCTCCATTAACATATTTACTCTTCATTTTAGTCCTATGAGGAAAATACTATTATTATTCCCACTTTACAGATAAGTGAACCGAGGCACAGGGGGATGAAACAACTGGACCATAGTCACATAGCTCATAAGTGGGGAGGCGATATTTAATGCTGACCCAGTCGACCCTATGGCTTATATTTAAAGTTGTCACAGAAACTTATGTTTTTTTTATAGTCTTTCTCTGATAACAGATATGCATTTTCTAAAGAAGGAACTTAAGAAGTTTATGAACCAGAGACAGTATTTCCATAAAATCAATTAAGAAAGTATTGTATAACATTGTTGTCTGAGAGCACTAAATAGGACTTTTATATATTTTTTCTATAATAACTAATTGGTTTTGACAAATTTTTATCAGACCTTTTTCAGAAAAAAAATCAATCTATGATCAATAAAAATATTAGAAAATATAAGATAGTAGTGAGGTAGTTTTTTAAAAATGATTTTACTTGTAGTTTCTATAGTTTACTCCATAATAACCCCATAGTTACCCGAGTTTGTATTCTTTCTATAACCTTGCACACACACGCACACACACATACACAAACGCACAAATCATGAATCATTAGTAAATCCAATATGATGTCTTAAAGATAAATCTAAAATACCCTGTTATGAATTAAATGTTTATAGTCCTCAAAATTTCTATGTAGAAGTCATAACCCTCAACATTATGGGATTTGGAGGCGGGGTATTTGGGGGGTGATTAGGTTTAGATGAAGTTGTGAGGGTGAGACCTCCTTGATGGGATTAATATCCTTAACAGAAGAGGAAGAGAAATCAGAGCTTGCTCTCTCTCTGCCATGTGAGGACCAGTGAGCATGTAGCTGTCTGCAAGACAAGAAGAGTGGCCTTACCAGGGATCGAATCTGCGAGCACTTTGAGCTTGAGAATTGTGAGAAACAGATGTCTTTTGTTTTAAGTCCCCCACTCTAAGGTATTTTGTTATGGTAGCCAAAGCAGACTAGTACAGAGCCCTGCTACACTCAGAATAAATCTAATTTTCTCAGAGTCCTTGGCCAGGAGGCCATGCATGCTGGCTCACATCTCTTTTCCTTTGGGCTGAGTTTCCTCTGGAATCTCCCGACTTCCTCATGTGAACAGGCTTCTGAACGGGGCTCTACCTTCTCAGTTTTTTTAGATAGGAAGATCAGGAATGGTCTTGCTGAAGAGGGGACATTTGAGTGGCCCAAACAAAATAAAATGTGCGTATCTGGGGTGACAGCATTCTAGACAAGGGGGAAAAAAAAACCAGAGGCGGGCCGGGCTCAGTGGCTCACACCTGTAATCCCACCGCTTTGGGAGGCCAAGGCGGACGGATCACGAGGTCAGGAGGTGGAGACCATCCCGGCTAACACGGTGAAACCCCGTTTCAACTAAAAATACAAAAAATTAGCTGGGTGCGGTGGTGGGCGCCTGTAGTCCCAGCTACTCGGGAGGCTGAGGCAGGAGAATGGTGTGAACCCGGGAGGCAGAGCTTGCAGTGAGCCGAGATCGCGTCACTGCAGTCCAGCCTGGGCGACAGAGCGAGACTCCGTCACAAAACAAAACAAAACAAAACAAAACAAAAACCAGAGGCAATGCCCCTGAGGTAAGAAAGTGCTTGACATGCAGGAGGAATGGGAAAGTCAGTCTCCATGAAAGGCAGCAGTGGTGGAAAATCAGGTAAGATCTCTAGGCAAGGACCAGAACTCATGGCCTGTGTAACCCAGGGTTTCTCACCCTCGGAGCAATTGGTATTTGGGCTGGATAATTCTTTGTTATGGGAGGCTGTCTGTGAGGTGTATGGTCTTTAGCAGTCTTTCTGGCCTCTGTCCATAAGGAGATAGTAGCATTCCCTCTCCATATGACAGCCAAAACAGTCTCCAGACATTGGTAAATGTCCTCTGGGAAGCAAAATTGCCCCTGGTTGAGAATCACTATTTCAGACCATGAAAAAGGATTTATGTTCATCCTATGAGTTTTACCAAGTCCTTGGCCTTTGAGCTTTGAGCAGGAGAATTACAGGGCCTGATCGACATGAGGACAACTCTGGACATGAGAATAAGAAGGAAATCAGCAGTGGGAAGGCAATGGGAAAGATCCAGGTGAGACATGATTCAGGTGAGGCTTGGAATGCATAGGTCATCACTGACAGGATTTACTGATAGGAAGCAAGAAGGCAGTGAAAGAAAGAGAGATAGTGAAGAAGACTGAAATTTTTAGCCAGAGTTAATTGGCCAGAATGAGAATGAGAATGCCATTGACGGAGAGGAGAAACCCCCAGTGGAAGTGGAGCGGGGGGTAAGGTTGTGAGGTGTGGAGATCAGCGCAGGGAGTGGTGCAGTTTGAAGGTGACAGCAATTCTGTCAAGGACATATTTGAGATGTCCTTTAGATATCCAAGTTGAGATGATGAATAGGTGGTTGGATACACAACTTGAGGCTTCAAGGAAGTGATTACTGGTAGAAACAATAGATTGGAAATCAGTATGCAGATAATATTTTAAAGTATGGTACCAGATTTAATCACCTAGGATCTTGGTACCAAAATGTGTGCCAGGAGCAATGCAGGATAGTTAAAAATTTTTGAGAGAAAAATGCCAACACTTGGTATCTGTCAGTGCCCAAATATGAGGTCTAGGTAGCTTACATTTTCAACATTAGTTTGAACCACATTCCTTTCAATGATATCATATTTTTGTGAAGTATGATAAGAATGCAACTACTACATGAAAATCAGTGTGGAACAGGAAGCGGGGGTGGCCATGTCCAATTAGATTGGGGGATATGAGAAATTGTGTAGTGCACGACAGGTGCATAAATTGCACTAGTGAAAAATATGAATACTATTATATTTTCTTTCAAATTTGTGTAATTTATAATATGACTATGAGGCTATTAGGACATATATCCATTTCCTATGAGTACAGTAATGAATTGCTACAACTTTTGTGACTTAAAATAACATCAAACTACTCTCTTTTGGCTCTGGAAGTCAAAACTCTGACATGATTTCTCTGGGCTGCAATCAAGATGTGGGCAGGGCCACATTCTTTCTAGAGGCTCCAGGGGAGAACCCATTTTCCTCCCTTTTCCTATATCTCTTGCATTCCTGGCTCATGAACCCTTCCTCCATCCATCTTCCAAACCAGCAGCATGGTATCTTCAAACTCTATCAGTTTCCATCATCATATCACCTTCTATCTCCTTTGACCCTCTTTCCTCCTTCCTCTAAGGACCACTGTGAATATGGTGGTTTATCCAGGTAGTCTAGGAAAATCTCCCTACGTTAAGATCCTTAAATTATTCATGTCTGTAAAGCCTCTTTTGCCATATAAGGTGACAGATCTGGGGATTCGGATCTGGATATCTTTGGGGCCATAATTCAGCCTACCACAGGGTGTAAATACTTAGTAAGGCATTTTGACCTAACTATCTAATAAATAGAAGTTAGGCATTTCTTTTGGCCTTAGGGTGGTCTGAAAACCATTACTGAAAAATGAAAGGCACTAAGAACTGTGAAAGTTTTGTAACTTCTGATCTAGGTAATAATGTAGTTAGAGACCCAAAGATTCCCAAATATTGAGTCACAAAGAACTTTGACATTTAGACTTTGAGAAGAGAGGAAGGATTTGGCAAAAAAAGAACAAGAAAGAATAACTAATGATGTAGGAGAAAAACCAGGAAAGTGTGAGATCTCAGAATGCAAGTGAAAAAAGTGATTCAAGAGTGAGGAAACAATCAAATTTATCTAATATCACATATAGTGTAAGACCAGGAGTGAGAGATTATATTTGGACATAATTGGGGTGCCAAATGTAAATATGAACACATTTTAATAATTAAATGCTCAATTTAATATAGTGAACAGTCATTTAAGCTAAGCTTCAGGAAAATAGTTGTCACCCAAGTAGTGTATTTATAGCAGATGAATCTGTCTATCTATCTATCTATCTATCTATCTATCTATCTATCTATCTGTCTGTCTACCTTGTGTTAGCATACCAATGTCATGAGATCAGAGGTATATAACTAAAGAAAATCATTATTGATGAATTACTCTGGAAATACTTGTAATTCAAATTTGGGCACTGCAGAAGGACATTTCACCAACAACCAGGGTTACTCATGCAGTCTAAACACTGTCAGTATTGGCAAAGAAACAGAGTCAGAATGCAATTGATTTAATTAATAATTCATGTATTCATTCAGTCAACAAACACTTACAGAGCTCCCACCATCTCGGGCAACATGCTGAGGACTTAATAGTGCCAGGCAACAGAACCCAAGACTAGCCACACTCTGCTGATAGGTGTATCATGGGCAGAGCAACATGCAGAAAGAATGGGCCACAGGGCAGAGCACGTGTGAGGTAGCAAAATTACATAATCTCGCCTCGCAGTTTCAAACCCTACCCATTTTTTAAATGCGATTTTTTCAGTGTATTGCATTTACTCATAAAAATATATACCCACATTATGCTATCAGGAGCTTCATCAAAAAAATTTGAAATGCCTTTCCCATAATTACCTCCACCAGATTCCAGCAGAATATCAAATGAGCAGAGCGAAATATCTGTTACATACCACTCACTCCACTGACCTCAGTGAAACATTTGTTTCACTATCCAGATGGAACAATTGAAATGTCTGCATTATTAAGAAGCAGTCAGGTAAAATTCAAATAAAGCTCACCTTCTTTTAAAAATGAATGTTTGTTACTCTTGCTGTCATTTTAATTCTTTTTTATTTGGGGAAACAGATATTCATTTATGGTTATAAGCATCCTTTCTTCCCTAACTCAGCCTTTTCAGAGTGATTTTCTTTTAGTATGTGCTACAGTTAGATCTATTTTTCTAAAGACAGAAGTAATATGTAAAATTCCCTGTTCATGTATGGATCTTTAGAGGTATACTGTATTTACATTTTGACATTTGGATTGAGGGTATTGAAAGAAAAACAATCTGTTCTGAGGTGAAGTGAGTAAACTCACTGTGAAGTACACAACGTAAGGCTACATCATTACTATGGGCTAATTCAATTTTTTATCAGCCTATTGAGAAAATCCTACTCTTACTTTTAATATATTCATTTAAAAGGTCCCCGGGAACCTTGTAACCATAGGAAACTGTAGCAAATCCAAACAGAAAGATGTTAACCAAGTAGCTCTTCTTAAAAACAATAAGGGTATACTGTAGTAAACCCCAAAGATAAGAGGCTTAAAGAAAAGATGTTTCCATTTCATGTTGCATAATTTCTTCCTGGATGAGAGGAACTACTTGCCAATTGCTTTCCCCTAACCCCCTCTTCATTTAAGGATTCATTAAGTTTCCATTTGGCCTCGCCCCAGCCTCTCTTGTACTGCCTTTGGCCAATAACCATTCATCAAGCATTTGTTTGCCATGAGCCTATGAGACAGGATCGTCTGCCCAAGTGGAATCAGAAGCATTTCACCTAAGAATTGGGAAGAATTTCATGTCTGCTTGAAAATATGCTTTTCCAGGGCAGTTTTCCCTGCTCATCTATAATTATGGAATTGAACAATGCTGATCTCTGACTCTGTCAAGCCATGCTTCTAGGGTAAGTTTCTCAGATAAAATACAGGACATTCAGTTAAAATGGAATATCAGATCAACAGTGAATACGTTTTTAAGCATAAGTATGTCCCAAGTATTAAATGGGATATACTTGTACTAAAAAAAATCCATTCTTTGTCTGAAATTCAAATGTAAGTGAGCATCCTGTATCTATTTGCTAAATCTGGCAATTCTATCCTAAGGGCAATTAGAATAATGACCTCCTAGATAGATGTGTTTTAGTGCATTTTCAAAATGGCCAAGTGGCCAGTATTTACTACCCATCTTTTCAGAAAATCAGGAAGGAGGCCAAATGTAATGACAACTGTTTAGCAAGAAATGGTCCTGAGATTCCAGCCTTTTAGAAGAATGCTATCAGCTTTTTCTCCTGTTCAAACTGAAAAGACTCCAGAGTCTTATATCTTAGTGTGCAATACGGGATTGTAAAATCTTTACTCTCAATCAACAATAAAATTTAAAGTCAAATCTGATGTTTTTTAAGGTACATAGATTCAAAGCTAGTGTTAACACGCAGAACAACAAAATAGTAATACACATTTTTTAAGCAATTGTACATTGCATTAATTTAGAATTAAGAAAATAGACTCTGCAAGGGAAAAAGACTTAGATACTATTTGACATGTGTTACGCTTTATTTGCTGTGGCACATTAGGCTAGTTATTTTTACTGCCTGAATGAGCCCCAGTTTTGATATCTGTAAATTGGAGACAATATCCTATATGGTAGGGTCCTTGTGAGGATTACACATTGGTTAAGTGAAAGAGTTAGCAGAACACCAGGGATTTAGCAGGAAATCATTCAATGATAAACATAATTATTTTTAGAGGCATGGATTAGGTATGTCACCTACTGAAAATTATTAATCATTTTAACATTGTTAAGGAAACACACCAGGATCAAACTCCAAATAAAACAATGAAGTCATTTAAGTGTAACACCAGATATTTTAATATTCAATCTTAAAGTATTGTGGTTAAAGAATCAATGACATACAGAGGCAAAAGCCAGATAATGCACTACTCAAGGATAAAATGTGAAAGTTCATAATTTTATATGCTAACAAATATATTTTATAACCATAGTGCTATTGCGGTCCCCGTACTGGTAGATATTTCTGGCCAGTTACACAGAACTCCACAAGGTTCAGAAACTTAGGAGCAGAGTTGAACCTAGTTACTATGTTATCCTAATGATAATTTTACCATAAAATATTTTTATAGTTTAGGATCTTATTGGCAACATATAGAGTATTAACAAGTTTTCATCAAGAGCTGGATGCAGGCCCATAGTTCCTCCTTTTAATAATTTGTTTATTTTTGTTCTTATGTGACATGCAGTTGCTTAGTGCCAAACACATATTGGGCACTATGTGAAGTTCACATCTAGATGAAATGCTAAATCAGCAAGGCCACAGATCACATCAAAGTTGTACACTGCTGGCTCCTTCAGTCCGTTGTCTAGTGCATGACTCGCTAGCTTACCCACTCTTGCCAGAATTCTTTACTCTCTTACATTCTGTTCCTCCAAATGCCCAATCCTGAATCAACAGACACATGTCCTATTCTACTCCTTGACTCATGACACTGAGGGCAATTGAGGCAAATTACATAACTCTACAGTTTCATATCAACACACTTTAGAATCTTCAATCAGGTATATAAATCAGTATTCCTTTTAATGGCCCTAGTGAGCTCTTTCCTCATAGTGGCTAAGTTTGTCCTGGCTAGGTCTGGTTAGTTTAAGTCTTCCTCACTGTACTGTAGCCTCCTGGTCTACCTCTAACCTCTGGGTCAATATTCTATGCAAATGAAAGCAAACATTGGTCTTGATACATAAACATGCTTCTCCATACTTATATCTCTGTTAATTTTCCCGAACAGCTTAATTGGGTATAGCTATATTATTATGAGATTTTTAAGACCTTTATTTTATTTATCATCATTTTTACTTGGTCTCTCTCCTTTTCAAGACTGTGTCTTGGATTTCTAACTATCTTGTATAGATATAAGACATTGAGCAAGGTGTGAGAAATTCTCCATATTTATATCTCTGTTAATTTTCCCAAACAGCTTAATTGGGTATAGCCATATTATTATGAGATTTTTAAGACCTTTATTTTATTTATCATCATTTTTACTTGGTCTCTCTCCTTTTCAAGACTGTGTCTTGGATTTCTAACTATCTTGTATGGACATAAGACATTGAGCAAGGTGTGAGAATCATAATTTGAAAGCATTTATATCCTTATTTTGCATTTACCTATAAACTACATTAATTGATTATGCTTATCATATTATACTTTATTAACTATAAATTATATTAATTGATTATATGTGTTACATTAATACTATGTGAAGATAATACATACATCTATCTTCTCAGTTGTCTATAGCACCATTATGTATTTTAATTTCTTTCTCTTTAACTCTCCACTTATCAATGTGAGAAGAAATTGATAATAAAAAGATTTACTTGAATGCCTTTTTGGATAGAAAGGATGTTAACATATTGATTTCCTTCAGAACTTAAGTTACAGAAGTCAGGCCTTTGCCACAAAGCAAAGAAAGAGAGTATTAGAAGGAGAATATTTGCATTATTATAATAATATGCATTATATGCATAATATATGATAATATATTATGATAATATAATATAATAATATGATATGATAATATGCATTAGAAGGAGAATATTTGAATCTTGGTTCTATCAACGTCAACTGTGTGACCGTGGGCAAGTTATTTAGCTTTTCTGAATCTCCGGTTGCTGATTTGAGATAAGGATAATATATCCTTTAGAGACCTATTGGAATAATTCATGAAATAACCCATTTGAGAACCACTGGCATATATCTTGTGCTCAATAAATGCAAGTCTTTTTTCTTCTTTGTTCATTCTTAATAAAATCTTGTGCTTTGACACAAAATCTATCTTATATTGATAATTCTTCAAAAGGATTTAAATAAAATAATTTTAAAATAATAAACTATGACATTATTGAATATTATTAATATTTAAAATAGTTACTTGTCAATTAAAATTTTGTTTTTATTTTAAATATATGCATCTTACATAAATAAAGTTTAAACAATTGAAAAAGGATGCTTCTTTTCCCATATAGATACAAAGGTGGTTATAGCATCACTATGTTTTGACAAGTTACACGGATTCTTTAAAAAAAAATTGTGTGAGGAGTGGGTACTAATATTGTTTACCTTTAAAATAAAGAAATAAAATATATTACTTTATATTAACTCCATGGATTACATTAATCATCCAAAAGGAGCAACTCTGTTCACATTTCTTCCCTCCTTTTTCCTTGTCAACATTTCCTGGTTAACCCGAGACGCTTTGCCAGCCCTATGGCCTTGAAAACTAAGTAGAAACAGGTGGATAGGAGAGAATACTGTATTTAGAGGGTTTAGGAAAGTAAGTTTGTGAACTGAAGTTCCTAAATAGGATGCAAATCTTAGAAGAAGAAACAAAAAGTTTGCAAATGCACAGGCACAAAATTCCCAGAGTATTATAGAGCTACCCACACTGTGAGACCCCTTATTTGTTTAATACGTTTATTCAACACATATTTATTGAACTACTCTTGTACCTCACACCATATAACTATGGCATAGGTATCTTACTATATAGTTGTTAAAAATTAGGTTAAAATGTAGAGGTAAGAAGTTCTGAGACTATCTCAGTATCATCAGGTACTAAAATAAAGCAACAGATGAGTGTTTATTTAGTTTTTTCTTTAAAATAGCCAGAAAATATGTTAAAGTCAATTCTCAAAGCATACTGGGTGTGTTTGGCCCATTGTCTGTTTCATACAGTCTTAAATAAAAGCTACAGGATGCATTAACACCCTGCATGCAACTTTTACTTATCCTCTACAAAGAACTTCAGCTTTACAAACTGTTACTGAGAATAGCAATTTTTATTAACCTTGTAGACAAACTTGTAGCCAAAATCATTTTCTGATACATGCTATATTCACATTCCTATCCATGGATAACTGAAATTTTGATGTGTTTCTAGTTCATTCCATTTGCATTTGTATTTTTTTTCCCTTTGTGGATGAAAATATTTCACTCTCACCAGATAGTAATGTAAAACTGAATATTTGGGAGCTCTGAATTGAACATGTAATTTGAAACTAGAACAGCCAGTAAAATTATGTAGATGTACCACTTCATAATTTATTCCTGAAGTATTTATTCACTAAGTTCTATCTTAGTTACTTCTCAGCCTGAGTAATCTACCCCTTACCTCCATAATCCCTTCCATACCATGTTCACTCCATTATCTTTTATTCATTTTCTTTTTAAGATAATGGAAATTAACCACACCCCATGCACAATGTTTATGAAGGTAAGAAAGAAGGAAAGTACATCATACCGAAGATCCCACTCCTTAACTCAAAGTTAAAAGTTTGTGACACATCTTGTATCTCCCCAATTCTACTTCTTCCCTCCCCACTACAAGGTCACCACTTATTTTTATTTTTATTTTTTTCTTCCATAGTTTTACCAGTGCATGTGTCTCTAAAAGCATATTATTAACTGTGGCTCCTGTTTAATCTTTATAAAATATCTCTGGCTTTTTGCCCCCTCAATCCAACATTTCTTAGACTCCTCCATTCTCATGCATATAAATGTAGTTTTTCAGTGTTGTCCAGAATTATTCTGTGAGAGTCACACTGTGATTATCTAATCGACTGTCGATGAACATATGGGTTGTTTCTACTTATGTGCAGTTATGAATCTGACTGCTGTGAGCATTCTTGTATGTGTTGCCTCTTCTACGTGTGTACGGAATTGCTGGGAGTGGAATTGTTGGGTCACCAAGCAGCTGTGTGTGTTTAATGGTATTAGGTGGCAGAGTACGAAACTCTTTTCCAAACTACTTGTATAATAGATGACTACTGGTTGTATACTGAATGTTAGATGTTTACCTTCCAACCAGCACTTTATAATTGGAGACAGAACCCAGAATCTGGAGCCAGCAGACCTGCTTGCAATTCTTGGGCAAGTTCTAAGTTCTGCACTTCAGTTTCTGGATATAAAATTAGATCACAGGTTGTTGTGAGGATTAAATTAGAGAGAAAGAAAAAAAGAAAGAGAAAATGTGTTTGGTATTCAGAAAGAACAGCACCTGGTGTTCAGTGCCTGCTATGTGGATGTCAGTTATTAGTTGTAAACAAAATTCTGCTCAGCTGGTGACATTGTCTTGTGTTTTAAGAAAATGTGGTAATTTATTTTTTCATCTAAAATTCTCCCAGCTCATATCAAGTTTAAGCCACTTTCTCCCCATCATTCTTCTCTTACTCTTGTCTCTCTCTCCTCATGCTTTCTCTCTTTGGCTTTCTTTTTAATATCACCCCGATCCTCCTTTCTTATCATAACTTGACCTAATGTGAAAGTAACCACACTAGTCACATAAATTGAGTACATTTTCATGTTTCTGATCTGTGGTTTTTGTTTGTGTGTGTGCTTTCAGTAAAGGAGCTTGGTCACACTCATTTGGTTACTGATACAGAAACTCAAATCTGGAAGCAACTGTGCTGGAAAAGGGTAGTGCGAGAAAGGTAAAGATCAATTTGGCTTCCAACAGCTTGAGAGGTGTGACTGTGTGTGTGTGTGTGTAAGTCAATAGGCAATGTGAAAATTCTTCAGAGACATACTTGTGGCTGGTTTCCAAGGGGCACATCTTGGACTAGAAACTAACAGCTTGGAGAAATAGTTATCTTTCAACATTGCGATCCTTTTCCAAATCCAGACCTTGTGGCACCATTTCACATGACCAAGGAGCAGGTAGAGCACCACTGTCCTCAAATGTCTCTTTATGAGCGTCTGGAATCTTTTGATTTGAAGATTTCAGCAATAACTGAAACACCATAGAAGCAAGGAATCATTTTTATCTCCCCACATGCTTACCAATAATAGATCAGATGAATGCCCAAATTAGGTAACTCCTTTATAGCAACTCCTGTAGTGGGTTGAATTCTATCTCCAAAAAGTTCAGGTCTACCTGAAACCTCAGAATGTAATTTTATTTGGAAATAGGGTCTTTGCAGATGCAATTCATTAAGATAAGATGAAGTCATGCTGGATTCGGGTGGGCCTAATAACCAGTGCCCTTATGAGAAGAGGACAGGATCCACAGAGAATACCTAGAGCAGAAGGCCATCTAAAGGCAGAAGCAGAGACTGGAGTAATACACCCACCAGGGAAGGTAAGCCGGGAGCCAGAAGACCACAAAGCCCAGGGAGAAATCCCTCCTAGAGCCTTCAGAGGGAGCATGGCCCTGCTGAGACCTTGATTTCAGATGGCTCACCTCCAGGACTGTGAGAGAATACATTTCTGTTATTTTTAAGCCATCTTGTTTGTGGCAGTTTATTGTGGGAGCATGGTGAGACTGATACAAGAGAAGAGGTGAAGAAAACTCTGAGATCAAAAGGAAATATATAAATTATATCTTTATGTAGTTATGTAGAGTATACACATAATCATTTTGTAACTGTATCAAATAGATTAAGACATTAATGTAGTATGGAAGACAGCTATAAGTTTTGGATCTAAGCTGTGTGAGTGTGTGTGTGAGTGTGTGTGTGTTTGTGCACGCACAGGGGTAGGAGAGTGGAGAATTATTTTTAACTCTGGATTTTACCTTTCAGCAGGGATCCAGGAGAGCTTCCCTGATGCCAATTTATTATTTCCCAATTTTAAGTTACACTTTATATATGTTTGTGCAGAATGAATTTTTTCCCCTGAGGGTTTGTGTGGCTTAAACGCAAAAGGGCCCTTAAAGAATATGACTGGAGGCCAGGCCCGGTGGTTCACACCTGTAATTCCAGCACTTTGGGAGGCCAAGACAGGTGGATCACTGGAGGTCAGGAGTTTGAGACCAGCCTAGCCAGCATGGTGAAACCCTGTCTGTACTAAAAATACAAAAATTAGCTGGGTGTGGTGGTGCACACCTGTAGTCCCAGCTACTTGGGACGCTGAGGCAGGAGAATCCCTTGAACCTGGGAGGCAGAGGTTGCAGTGAGCCAAGATCATACCACTGCACTCTAGCCTGGGCGAAAGAGCAAGACGTCACCTCAAAAAAATAAAACTAAAAGAGAATAAAAATAAAGAATATGACTGGAGTATACAAGACACAGAATTCTTCACAACTCCAGAGATACATGCCTTGCAATTATTTATCAGCAGTTTTGAAGGCATAAACAGCTGTGAGTGACAACCATCTGTCACAAAACTTACACAAGCTCATTTCCCTGACCTTCTAACTCTGGCACCTAGTGACAAAGGTGTTATGGGCACACGTGGTCAGCCTTGAAGTGCTTTGTAAATGAAGTGCATCTGGCATGATACAAGCTTTTGCCTTTAAAGCAGGCACATCTTATTCTCTTAGGTATTATGGCCAATCTGTTAATACGTGATTTATACTCAAATGGCACAGCACCCTTGCAGCCATGACGGAAGGTGGTTTTGCTTTATTTTGACAAATGTGGCCACAGATGGGAAGCTTAACATCATCTCCCTCAGACACACAGTATCTTTTAGCTTCTACAAAAGGGCAGAAACAAGGAGTCCAAGTACATGCCATTAGCAAACACTTTACACTACTGCCATCTACAATGGGGTCACAGAGTGCCATTTGTTGTAGCTAATTCATACATGGGATTGCCAGACTGAGAAGCCCATGCTTTAGCCAACAGTGATGAGGGCTTTCCTTGGATCTGTCCTTGTTGAATAGTCACTCTAATAAAATATGATTTGACCATCTGAGCCAGCATAATCGTCACCAAAAATCACTGCAGTCATGGAAAAGCCCAAACCTCTACTCTTTAAAAGTGTATGTTTGATTGTTACGCTCCCTGCCACTCTTCCTCTCCATTGCTCCTCACCACCACAGGCAAAATTCTAGGACAACTGACACATACTCACAGTGGTAACACAAATAACTATAGTCTCTATGTGTCATCTCAGCAAATTGGATATTTAAATGTCAAATAGCACTAAACCTAATCTGCATGCCTAGATTCTCCTGTGCTAGAAGCTGGGAACTTCGTGTTGCTTATCCAGACATGAGGGCAGCTAGGATACATCGAGGGAGGTTTACCTTGAGGGAGGTAAATCAAAATGCAGAGGTTGCATTTCCCTCTGAGTTAGGGAAGGTTTTGTTTTCTCATGTACAGCATATAAAAACATCCCAAATAGGTAAAAAAAATTTAATAATAATAGTTTGGATTACTAGCATCACAAATTACCTATGAATGTCATTTCACCCCACTTTTGACAGTCTCACTTTGCATACTGTCTCTCTGAATGATTATTATGTCTGAAAAGTAAGATGTGTAGGCAGCCAACTGGCTTCTGAAGCATGTGAGCCTCTTCAGGCATTAAGAGGAATCTCCAATCTAATCCACCCTGTTTACAGGTAGGTTTGCCAGAGAAAATCGCATGCCGAGCTCACCTTGTCCGTGGACCAGCACACAAGCCATGCCTGGACACCTCCCTCCACCAAGGCTGCCAGTCAGGGGATTTCAGGTGGTTTCTTCAATCGGAGTCTTGGCAGTTCTACACCTGTCCTCACTCCACATGGGATATACGTGTAGAGACTACATCGTGCTTTAACCTTGAGCGCTACTTCTTAAACCAAAAGTAAATTTAAACTAAGGACCCATTTCAGCCAAACTTTCCCAAGCAATTCTACTTTCTTCTCTCTCTTATTTCCTTTAGGTCTTAGTTTCCTCTTATCCTTGTGACCCCTTATATTCCATTATGGTTATAGGCTTTCTAATCTCTTCCTAACAGCTTCTACTCAGCAGGGGGAAGAAAAATGGACCATGTTATAACAAATAACATGGCGGTGAACTCTGTGGATGGTGGAGTTGTTCTGTGTGCTCCAGTTCCTACCGAGATTGTGCCTAACTCATCATGAATCTCAGCAGCAGCAGCATGGACACCATCACCAGCAGAAGCGTTTGCAAGTATCCAATTATGGGTTAGAGACTCTGCAAGGAAATTACATTCACCCAGCACCTGGCCAGAACCTAAGACTTGTTTCAGCACTTCTTGCAATTAGCAGAGGGCAGTTGCCTCCGTGGTGTGTAGCCAGTTGGGGTGATGAGCAATTCTCCCCACAAAAGCCTCATGAGACATCTGGTGACTGAGTTCGCAATGGCACTGCCTCAGTGTGTGTGCCCATAAAAAGGCAAGCTGACAGTACCCGTCTAGGACAGGGTTCACCAGGCTTGTCTGTGCCTGCCTCTGCTAAGATGCTCTCAAGGGACTGCTAGATTCCCACCCTCTTTATTTAACAGTTCTTCCAACAGAGAGGCAGAACCTACTTCATTCAGCTGCTTTCCTCTCTCCCCAGTTTCAGAATTACTATAATTGCCCATTGCAGTTGTTCGGCATTCATGTCAATTTCAGTACAAGCTGGAGAATTCAGGAGAAGTTGTAAGGTGTGAGGGTTGGGAGTTGCATCCACTTGTCAGGGAAATTGCGATGTCCGAGGCAGGTCTGAGGCCTTTGCTACTTGGATCGCTCCAGCAGAATGCATTGAGGGAGGTCTCCAGGAAGAAATGTCCCTCCATGGCCAATTGCATGCCGCATTGGGGAGGGAGGTGTCAAACAATGGTAAAGTGGATAGATAGTAAAGTGTCTTTTACCATCTCTTATAAAGACAAGTGACACTCTGAGATAAAAAGCCACAAGGCCTCTTCTAAAGTTTATATTTACAGAGGCTCTGTGACTGCATGGCCACTTTTCTCAGCAGCTATAGCAGGTCTTGGAATAACATTGCTTCATTCAACATCACTTTATTATAATGTTGATGAGAAAAAATATCGATTCTCAGCTAAGGCCACTATCTGTGTGGAGTTGTCATGTTCTCCTCATGTCTGTGTGGGTTTCCTGCCACATCCCAAAGCTGTGCCCATCTAGTGAAACAGAATATCACCTGGTCCCAGTGTGAGTGAATGTGTGTGTGTGTGTGTGTGTGTGTGTGCGCGCGCATGTGCGTGTGCCATGGGATGGGATGGTGTCCTGTCCAGGGTGGGCTCCTGCCTGGCACCCGAGCTGCTGGGATAGGCTCTGGCCACCTGAGACCCTGAACTGGAATAAGCAGGTAAGTAATTATCTTACTTGTTTTTATTAGTCTTTCTTAAATGTATGTATAGCTCACATTTATTTCCATGTCTAATGTTAGAGTTTTCTGGTCTTCATTTAGAAGTTTGGTGAAATTTTTTAACCAGAGAAATATGCTATAGAAACTTTACTCTTATTTATAACAACTAGCCTATGGCGAAATTGGTTATCTTATATGTCATTTCACTTAAAGTCATAGTTTCCAAGAACCTATCCATTATGTTTAGTGAGTTCTAACTGTACATACTAAGCAGCATTTATAGTGCAGTGAAAAATTGTGAGATGATCCTGTGTACAGTGTCAACTTTGGTTTAGAATTACCTGTATCATGCAAGGCAATACAGCGTTGAGTTTGGGTATTTTAATTCATCTCTATGAAATGAATTATTGGGAGAGATTTGTTAAAGGACAAAAAATTACAGCTAGATGGGAGGACTAGTGGTAGTGTTGTATAGCACTGTAGGATGACTATAGTTAATAATAACATATTATATAGTTTCAACTAGTTAGAAGGAAGATATTAAATGTTCCCAATACAAATAAATAATCAATGTTGGAGATGATAGATATGCTAATTACCCTGAGTTGATTGTACTATATGTATTGCACATATGCACTATATGTATTGCAACAACACCATGTACTCCATAGACATGTACAACTATTATGTGTTAATTAAAAGATTTTTTTTAAAGTCAACCAGTACTGGTGGGCACGGTGGCTCATGAATGTAATCCCAGCACTTTGGGAGGCTGAGGTGGGAGGATTACCTGAGGTCAGGAGTTCCAGCCTGGCCAACATGGTGAAACCCCGTCTCTACTAAAAATACAAAAATTAGCTGGGCCTGGTGGCCTGCATCTGTATTTCCAGCTACTCGGGAGCCTGAGGCAGGAGAATTGTTTGAATCTGGGAGGCAGAGGTTGCAGTGAGCCGAGATCACGCCACTGCACTTCAGCCTGGGTAACAGAGCAAGACTCTGTCTCAAAAAAAAAAAAAAAAAAAAAAAAAAGTTAACCAGTATAACTTGTAACTAATGAAATTAAACCTATGAGCTTTATTGCTTATATACTCAAATCAATAAGGGAGCACCCTAGTTGATACTCCCTTAAATAATCAAAATACACTCATGTAGTCAGAGAATCTCAGAACTGAAATATAGGAGTCTCCTGAGGAATCAGAATCTATTACATAGGCTACCAAGTGTAGAATCCACATACTCAAGCAGTCCATCTCTTTGTGGCCATTTCCTGTGACCTAGCCCTTCCTTTCTTTCAGTGTAAGAAATTCCATTTCTAGGAAGCTTGGAGGTACAAATGTTCCTCTTTATTGAGTTGCTTTTTGTGTCACAGTACCTTACCATTTATCTTCTGGGCATTTGTACTATTAAAATCATGCCTATTTCATCTTCATTTAAAACCAATACTTAACAACAACAGTCAAGTCTTTCCTTTCTTCTTACACTGTCAGATAAAAGAACCCCAAATTCCATCACAAGATCTCAATAACATCTAATTGTGATATATAATGCTTTATCTTTTTTGACCATTATTATTTTTGACCATTATTATTTTCATTATTATTTATCTTAAGCCCTGAAACAAGCAGAATACTCAACATTTTCAGTAACTTCCCTTACTTTGGATTCTACTGTTTCTATATAGGCATCCTGATAATTGTGCTGACTTCATGTGTTTAGTTTTATATTTACAAATTAGCTCATGTTCATGGTAGAAAAATTAGAGAATGTACAAAAACATCAAGAAGAAAAGTGAATTTCTTAGGATATGGGACCAATCTTTTTAGAAGAGAGAAACAAAATAACAATAGTTTGAACAAGTTGGAAGTTTTTTTTAAATTATTTTTCCACGTAAAATTCTGGTTAGGTGCTCTGAGGCAAAGACTACCATGGTACCTTATGAGTCACCAGAGACTCTTCTATCACGTTTTGCTGCCTTCAGCATTTAGCTTCTAACTCGTTTCTTGGCTATCCTGGCAACTGCTTTGAGGTATTTTTGTTTTGTTTCCATTTATTAATTAGTATAAATTCATAAACTTCAAATTTTTCAATCTTTCCGAATAGCAGTCAAGTCTTTCTTTTTTTCCTGTGCTGTCAAAAGAACCAAAAATTCCATCATAAGATCTCAAATAACATCTAATTGTGATATAAAATGCTGTGTTTTTTGGTTGCTTTATTCTAATTAAACTCTATTTGGCCAATATTATTTTTAAAATCTTAAAAATTAAGATTTTTTTATGCCCAGGCACAAGCATAATATTCAACATTTTGAGTACAT